>NC_000005.10:47106994-47153339 GCF_000001405.40 Homo sapiens | reverse complement strand
TCTGTCTAGTATTTATGTGAAGATATTGCTTTTTCCACCATAGGCAAAAAAACGCTCCAAGCGAACACTTGCACATCCTACAAAATGTGTGTTTCAACACTGCTCTTTCAAGAGAAAGGTTCAAGTCTGTGAGTTGAATGCACACATCACTAAGCAGTTTCTGAGAATGCTTCTGTCTAGTTTGTATGTGAAGATATTCCGTTTAAAACGAAATCCTCAAAGAGCTCCAAATATCCACAAGCAGATCCTATAAAAGCGGTGTTTCAAAACTGCTCTATCAAAAGAAAATTTCAATTCTGTGAATTTGACACACACTTCACAAAGGAGTTTCTGAGAATGTTTCTGTCTAGTTTTCATTTGAAGATATTTCTTTTTCCACCGTAGGCAACAAAGCGCACTAAATGAACACTTGCAGATTCTACAAAAAGCGTGTTCCAACCCTGATCTCTCAAAAGAAAGTTTGAAGTCTGTGAGTTTAAGGCACACATCTCAAAGAACTTTGTGAGAATGCTTGGTTCTCCTTTTTTTGGGAAGATACCAGCTGCCAACGAATTCCTGAAAGAGTTCCTAATATCCACAAGCAGATTCTACAAAAGGAGTGTTGCAATTCTGCTCTATCAAAAGGCAGATTCAACTCAGTTACTTGAATGCACACATCTCAATGAAGTTCCTGAGCATGCCTCTGTCTAGTTTTTTGTGAAGATATTTCCTTTTCCGCCAAAGGCTTAAAAGCGCACCAGAATGAACACTCGCAGATCCTACAAAAAGACTGTTTCAGAACTGCTCTATCAAAAGGACGGTTCCACTCTGTGAGGTGAATGCACACATCACAAAGCAGATTCTGAGAAAGCTTCTGTCAAGTTTGGCTGTGAAGATATTTCCTTTTCCATCTTAGTCCTCCCATTGTTCCAAATATCCACTTGCAGATAGTACAAAAAGATTGTTTCAAAACTGTTCTCTCAAAAGGAAGGTTCAACTCTGTGAGTAGAATGCACACATCACAAACCAGTTTCTGAGGATGCTTCTGACTAGATTGAATGTGTAGATATCCCGTTTAAAACGAATTCCTCCAACAGCTCCAAATATCCACAAGAAGATTCTACAAAAGCAGTGTTTCAAAACTGCTTTATCTAAAGAAAGGTTCAACCCTGTGAATTGAACAACTACATCACAAAGTATTTTCTCAGAATGTTTCTGTCTAGTTTTTAGGTGAAGATATTTCTTTTTCCACCATGGGGAAGAAAGCACTCCAAATGAACACTTGCAGATTCTACAAAAAGTGTGTTTCAACACTGCTCTATCAAAAGAAAGTTTCAAGTCTGTGAGTTGAATCCCCACATCACAAAGCAGTTTCTGAGAATGCTTCTGCCTAGTTTTTAGATGAAGGTATATCCTTTTCCATCTTAGGCCTCAAATATCTCCAAACATCCACTTGCAGATACTTCAAAAAGACTGTTTCAAAACTGCTCTCAAAAGGAAGGTTCAACTCTGTGAGTTGAATGCACACATCACAACGCAGTGTCTGAGAATGCTTATGTCTAGTTTGTATGTGAAGATATTTCCTTTTCCATCTTAGGCCTCAAATCGATCCAAATATCCAATTGCAGACACCACAAAAAGACTGCTTCAAAACAGCTCTCGCAAAAGGAAGGTTCAACTCTGTGAGTTGAATGCGCACATCACAGAGCAGTTTCTGAGAATGCTTCTGTCTACTTTGTATGTGAAGATATCCCGTTTACAACAAATTCCTCAAAGAGCCCCCAATAGCAACAAGCAGATTCTACAAAAGCAGTGTTTCAAAACTGCTCTATCCAAAGCAACTTTCAACTCTGCGAATTGAACACACACATCACAAAGCAGTCTCTGAGAATGCTTCTGTCTGGTTTTTAGGTGAAGATATTCCTTTTTCCACCATAGGCAACAGAGCACTCCAAACGAACACATGAAGATTCTACAAAAAGTGTGTTCCAACACTGCTCTATCAAAAGAAAGTTTCAAGTCTGGGAGTCCAATGTACATGTCACAAAGAACGTTCTGTGAATGCTTGGGTCTACTTTTTATGTGAAGATAGCCGTTTCCAAAGAATTCTTCAAAGAGTTCCAGATATCCACAGGCAGATTCTACAAAAGAAGTGTTTCAATACTGCTCTATCAAAAGACGTATTCCACTCAGTTACTTTAATGCACACATCTCAGTGAAGGTCCTGAGAAAGCTTCTGTCTAGTTTTTATGTGAAAATATTTCCTTTTCCATCATGGGCCTCAAAGCGCTCAAAATGAACACTTGCAGATACTAGAGAAAGACTGTTTCAAAACTGCTCTATCCAAAGAACGGTTCCACTCTGTGAGGTGAATGCACACATCACAAAGCAGTTTCTGAGAACGCTTCTGTCTAGGTTGTATGTGAACGTATTTCCTTTTCCATCATAGGCCTCAAATCGCTCCAAATATCCCCTGGCAGATACTACAGAAAGACTGTTTCAATACTGCTTTCTCAAGAGAAAGTTTCAACTCTGTTAGTTGAATGCACACATCACAAAGCAGTTTCTGAGAATGCTTCTGTGTAATTTGTATGTGAAGATATCCCGTATACGTCCAATTCCTCAAATACCTCCAAATATTCACAAGCAGATTCTACAAAAGCAGAGTTTCAAATCTGCTGTATCAATAGAAAGGTTCAACTTTGTGAATTGGACACAAACATCTCAAAGGAGTTTCTGAGAAGGCTTCTTTCTAGTTTGTATGTGAACACATTTCTTTTTCCACCACAGGCAACAAAGCTCTCAAAATGAACACTTGCAGATTCTATAAAAAGTGTGTTTCAACACTGCTCTATCAAAATAAGGTTTCAAGTCTGTACATTTAATGCACACATCACAAAGCAGTTTCTGAGAATGCTTCTGTCTAGTTTGTAGGTGAAGGTATTCCCTTTTCCATCTTAGACCACAAATCACTAAAAATATCCACCTGTATATACTACAAAAAGACTGTTTCAAAACCTCTCTCTCAAAAGGAAGGTTCAACTCTGTGAGTTGAATGCACACATCACAAAGCAGTTTCTGAGCATGCTTCTGTCTAGTTTGTATGTGAAGATAGTTCCTTTTCCCTCATAGGCCTCAAAGCGTTCCAAATATCGACTTGCAGATACTACAAAAAGACTGTTTGAAAACTGTTCTCTCAGAAGGAAGGTTCAACTCCGTGTGTTGAATGCACACATCACAAAGCAGTTTCTGAGAATGCTTCTGGCTAGTTTGTATGTGAAGATATCCCATTGACAGCGAATTCCTCAAAGAGCTCCAAATATCCACCAGCAGATTCTAGAAAATCAGTGTTTCAAAACTGCTCAATCTAAAGAAAGGTTCACCTCTGTGCATTGAACACACATATCACAAAGGAGTTTCGGAGCACGCTTTCTTTCGAGTCTTTATGTGAAGATATTTCTTTTTCCACCATAGGCATCAAAGCGTTCCAAAGGAACTCTTGCAGATTCTACAAATTTGTGTTTCAACACTGCCCCGTCTAAAGAAATGTTCAAGTCTCTGTGTTGAATGCACCCATCACAAAGCAGTTTCTGAGAATGCTTCTATCTAGTTTCTATGTGAAGATATTCCCGTTTCCATGTTAAGCCTCACATCGCTCCATATATCCACTTGAGGATACTACAAAAAACTGTTTCAAAACTGCTCTCTCAAAAGGAAGGTTCAACTCTGTGAGCTGAATGCACACATCACAAAGCAGTAAATGAGATTGCTTCTGTCTAGTTTGTATGTGAGGATATTTCCTTTTCAATCTTAGACTTCCCATCGCTCCAAGTATCCACTTGCAGATATTTCAAAGAGACTGTTTAAAAACTGCTCTCTCAGAAGGAAGGTTCAACTCTGTGAGTTGAATGCACACACCACAAAGCAGTTTCTGAGAATGCTTGGGTCTAGTTTGTATGTGAAGATATCCCGTTTACAACGAATTCCTCAAAGAGCTCCAAATATCCACAAGCAGATTCTACAAAAGCAGTGTATCAAAACTGCTCTATCAAAAGAAAGGTTCAACTCTCTGAATAGAACAAACACATCACAAAGGAGTTTCTGAGAATGATTCTGTCTAGTATTTATGTGAAGATATTTCTTTTTCCACCATAGGGAAAAAAACGCTCCAAGCGAACACTTGCACATCCTACAAAACGTGTGTTTCAACACTGCTCTTTCAAGAGAAAGGTTCAAGTCTGTGAGTTGAATGCACACATCACTAAGCAGTTTCTGAGAATGCTTCTGCCTAGTTTGTTTGTGAAGATATCCCGTTTACAACGAAATCCTCAAAGAGCTCCAAATATCCACAAGCAGATCCTATAAAAGCAGTGTTTCAAAACTGCTCTATCAAAAGAAAATTTCAATTCTGTGAATTTGACACACACTTCACAAAGGAGTTTCTGAGAATGTTTCTGTCTAGTTTTCATTTGAAGATATTTCTTTTTCCACCGTAGGCAACAAAGCGCACTAAATGAACACTTGCAGATTCTACAAAAAGCGTGTTCCAACCCTGATCTCTCAAAAGAAAGTTTGAAGTCTGTGAGTTTAAGGCACACATCTCAAAGAACTTTGTGAGAATGCTTGGTTCTCCTTTTTTTGGGAAGATACCAGCTGCCAACGAATTCCTGAAAGAGTTCCAAATATCCACAAGCAGATTCTACAAAAGGAGTGTTGCAATTCTGCTCTATCAAAAGGCAGATTCAACTCAGTTACTTGAATGCACACATCTCAATGAAGTTCCTGAGCATGCCTCTGTCTAGTTTTCTGTGAAGATATTTCCTTTTCCGCCAAAGGCTTAAAAGCTCTCCAAAATGAACACTCGCAGATCCTACAAAAAGACTGTTTCAGAACTGCTCTATCAAAAGGACGGTTCCACTCTGTGAGGTGAATGCACACATCACAAAGCAGATTCTGAGAAAGCTTCTGTCAAGTTTGGCTGTGAAGATATTTCCTTTTCCATCTTAGTCCTCCCATTGCTCCAAATATCCACTTGTAGAGAGTACAAAAAGATTGTTTCAAAACTGTTCTCTCAAAAGGAAGGTTCAACTCTGTGAGTAGAATGCACACATCACAAACCAGTTTCTGAGGATGCTTCTGACTAGTTTGAATGTGAAGATATCTCCTATAAAACGAATTCCTCCAACAGCTCCAAATATCCACAAGAAGATTCTACAAAAGCAGTGTTTCAAAACTGCTTTATCTAAAGAAAGGTTCAACCCTGTGAATTGAACAACTACATCACAAAGTATTTTCTGAGAATGTTTCTGTCTAGTTTTTAGGTGAAGATATTTCTTTTTCCACCATGGGGAAGAAAGCACTCCAAATGAACACTTGCAGATTCTACAAAAAGTGTGTTTCAACACTGCTCTATCAAAAGAAAGTTTCAAGTCTGTGAGTTGAATCCCCACATCACAAAGCAGTTTCTGAGAATGCTTCTGCCTAGTTTTTAGATGAAGGTATATCCTTTTCCATCTTAGGCCTCAAATATCTCCAAACATCCACTTGCAGATACTTCAAAAAGACTGTTTCAAAACTGCTCTCAAAAGGAAGGTTCAACTCTGTGAGTTGAATGCACACATCACAACGCAGTGTCTGAGAATGCTTATGTCTAGTTTGTATGTGAAGATATTTCCTTTTCCATCTTAGGCCTCAAATCGATCCAAATATCCAATTGCAGACACCACAAAAAGACTGCTTCAAAACAGCTCTCGCAAAAGGAAGGTTCAACTCTGTGAGTTGAATGCGCACATCACAGAGCAGTTTCTGAGAATGCTTCTGTCTAGTTTGTATGTGAAGATATCCCGTTTACAACAAATTCCTCAAAGAGCCCCCAATAGCAACAAGCAGATTCTACAAAAGCAGTGTTTCAAAACTGCTCTATCAAAAGCAACTTTCAACTCTGCGAATTGAACACACACATCACAAAGCAGTCTCTGAGAATGCTTCTGTCTGGTTTTTAGGTGAAGATATTCCTTTTTCCAACATAGGCAACAAAGCACTCCAAAGGAACACATGAAGATTCTACAAAAAGTGTGTTCCAACACTGCTCTATCAAAAGAAAGGTTCAAGTCTGGGAGTCCAATGTACATATCGCAAAGAACTTTCTGAGAATGCTTGGGTCTACTTTTTATGTGAAGATAGCCGTTTCCAAAGAATTCTTCAAAGAGTTCCAGATATCCACAGGCAGATTCTACAAAAGAAGTGTTTCAATACTACTCTATCAAAAGACGTATTCAACTCAGTTACTTTAATGCACACATCTCAATGAAGTTCCTGAGAAAGCTTCTGTCTAGTTTTTATGTGAAAATATTTCCTTTTCCATCATGGGCCTCAAAGCGCTCAAAATGGACACTTGCAGATACTAGAGAAAGACTGTTTCAAAACTGCTCTATCCAAAGAACGGTTCCACTCTGTGAGGTGAATGCACACATCACAAAGCAGTTTCTGAAAACTCTTCTGTCTAGTTTGTATGTGAACATATTTCCTTTTCCATCATAGGCCTCAAATCGCTCCAAATATCCACTTGCAGATACTACAAAAAGACTGTTTCAGAACTGCTTTCTCAAAAGAAAGTTTCAACTCTGTGAGTTGAATGCACACAGCACAAAGCAGTTTCTGAGAATGCTTCTGTGTAATTTGTATGTGAAGATATCCCGCATACGCCCAATTCCTCAAAGACCTCCAAATATCCACAAGCACATTCTACAAAAGCAGTGTTTCAAATCTGCTGTATCAAAAGAAAGGTTCAACTTTGTGAATTGGACACAAACATCTCAAAGGAGTTTCTGAGAAGGCTTCTTTCTAGTTTGTATGTGAACACATTTCTTTTTCCACCACAGGCAACGAAGCTCTCCAAATGAACACTTGCAGATTCTATAAAAAGTGTGTTTCAACACTGCTCTATCAAAATAAGGTTTCAAGTCTGTACGTTTAATGCACACATCAAAAGCAGTTTCTGAGAATGCTTCTGTCTAGTTTGTAGGTGAAGGTATTCCCTTTTCCATCTTAGACCTCAAATCACTAAAAATATCCACTTGTATATACTACAAAAAGAAGGTTTCAAAACCTCTCTCTCAAAAGGAAGGTTCAACTCTGTGAGTTGAATGCACACATCACAAAGCAGTTTCTGAGCATGCTTCTGTCTAGTTTGTATGTGAAGATAGTTCCTTTTCCCTCATAGGCCTCAAAGCGTTCCAAATATCGACTTGCAGATACTACAAAAAGACTGTTTGAAAACTGTTCTCTCAGAAGGAAGGTTCAACTCCGTGTGTTGAATGCACACATCACAAAGCAGTTTCTGAGAATGCTTCTGGCTAGTTTGTATGTCAAGATATCCCTTTGACAGCGAATTCCTCAAAGAGCTCCAAATATCCACAAGCAGATTCTAGAAAAGCAGTGTTTCAAAACTGCTCAATCTAAAGAAAGGTTCACCTCTGTGCATTGAACACACATATCACAAAGGATTTTCGGAGAACGCTTCTTTCGAGTCTTTATGTGAAGATATTTCTTTTTCCACCATAGGCATCAAAGCGTTCCAAAGGAACTCTTGCAGATTCTACAAATTTGTGTTTCAACACTGCCCCGTCTAAAGAAATGTTCAAGTCTCTGTGTTGAATGCACCCATCACAAAGCAGTTTCTGAGAATGCTTCTATCTAGTTTGTATGTGAAGATATTCCCGTTTCCATCTTTAGCCTCACGTCGCTCCATATATCTACTTGAGGATACTACAAAAAACTGTTTCAAAACTGCTCTCTCAAAAGGAAGGTTCAACTCTGTGAGCTGAATGCACACATCACAAAGAAGTTAATGAGATTGCTTCTGTCTAGTTTGTATGTGAGGATATTTCCTTTTTAATCTTAGACTTCCCATCGCTCCAAATATCCACTTGCAGATATTTCAAAGAGACTGTTTAAAAACTGCTCTCTCAGAAGGAAGGTTCAACTCTGTGAGTTGAATGCACCCACCACAAAGCAGTTTCTGAGAATGCTTGGGTCTAGTTTGTATGTGAAGATATCCCGTTTACAACGAATTCCTCAAAGAGCTCCAAATATCCACAAGCAGATTCTACAAAAGCAGTGTATCAAAACTGCTCTATCAAAAGAAAGGTTCAACTCTCTGAATAGAACAAACACATCACAAAGGAGTTTCTGAGAATGATTCTGTCTAGTATTTATGTGAAGATATTTCTTTTTCCACCATAGACAAAAACACGCTCCAAGCGAACACTTGCACATCCTACAAAATGTGTGTTTCAACACTGCTCTTTCAAGAGAAAGGTTCAAGTCTGTGAGTTGAATGCACACATCACTAAGCAGTTTCTGAGAATGCTTCTGTCTAGTTTGTATGTGAAGATATTCCGTTTAAAACGAAATCCTCAAAGAGCTCCAAATATCCACAAGCAGATCCTATAAAAGCGGTGTTTCAAAACTGCTCTATCAAAAGAAAATTTCAATTCTGTGAATTTGACACACACTTCACAAAGGAGTTTCTGAGAATGTTTCTGTCTAGTTTCCCTTTGAAGATATTTCTTTTTCCACCGTAGGCAACAAAGCGCACTAAATGAACACTTGCAGATTCTACAAAAAGCGTGTTCCAACCCTGATCTCTCAAAAGAAAGTTTGAAGTCTGTGAGTTTAAGGCACACATCTCAAAGAACTTTTTGAGAATGCTTGGGTCTCCTTTTTTTGGGAAGATACCAACTACCAACGAATTCCTGAAAGAGTTCCAAATATCCACAAGTAGATTCTACAAAAGGATTGTTTCAATTCTGCTCTATCAAAAGGCAGATTCAACTCAGTTACTTGAATGCACACATCTCAATGAAGTTCCTGAGCATGCCTCTGTCTAGTTTTCTGTGAAGATATTTCCTTTTCCGCCAAAGGCTTAAAAGCTCTCCAAAATGAACACTCGCAGATCCTACAAAAAGACTGTTTCAGAACTGCTCTATCAAAAGGACGGTTCCACTCTGTGAGGTGAATGCACTCATCACAAAGCAGATTCTCAGAAAGCTTCTGTCAAGTTTGGCTGTGAAGATATTTCCTTTTCCATCTTAGTCCTCCCATTGCTCCAAATATCCACTTGTAGATAGTACAAAAAGATTGTTTCAAAACTGTTCTCTCAAAAGGAAGGTTCAACTCTGTGAGTAGAATGCACACATCACAAACCAGTTTCTGAGGATGCTTCTGACTAGATTGAATGTGTAGATATCCCGTTTAAAACGAATTCCTCCAACAGCTCCAAATATCCACAAGAAGATTCTACAAAAGCAGTGTTTCAAAACTGCTTTATCTAAAGAAAGGTTCAACCCTGTGAATTGAACAACTACATCACAAAGTATTTTCTCAGAATGTTTCTGTCTAGTTTTTAGGTGAAGATATTTCTTTTTCCACCATGGGGAAGAAAGCACTCCAAATGAACACTTGCAGATTCTACAAAAAGTGTGTTTCAACACTGCTCTATCAAAAGAAAGTTTCAAGTCTGTGGGTTGAATCCCCACATCACAAAGCAGTTTCTGAGAATGCTTCTGCCTAGTTTTTAGATGAAGGTATATCCTTTTCCATCTTAGGCCTCAAATATCTCCAAACATCCACTTGCAGATACTTCAAAAAGACTGTTTCAAAACTGCTCTCAAAAGGAAGGTTCAACTCTGTGAGTTGAATGCACACATCACAACGCAGTGTCTGAGAATGCTTATGTCTAGTTTGTATGTGAAGATATTTCCTTTTCCATCTTAGGCCTCAAATCGATCCAAATATCCAATTGCAGACACCACAAAAAGACTGCTTCAAAACAGCTCTCGCAAAAGGAAGGTTCAACTCTGTGAGTTGAATGCGCACATCACAGAGCAGTTTCTGAGAATGCTTCTGTCTAGTTTGTATGTGAAGATATCCCGTTTACAACAAATTCCTCAAAGAGCCCCCAATAGCAACAAGCAGATTCTACAAAAGCAGTGTTTCAAAACTGCTCTATCAAAAGCAACTTTCAACTCTGCGAATTGAACACACACATCACAAAGCAGTCTCTGAGAATGCTTCTGTCTGGTTTTTAGGTGAAGATATTCCTTTTTCCAACATAGGCAACAAAGCACTCCAAAGGAACACATGAAGATTCTACAAAAAGTGTGTTCCAACACTGCTCTATCAAAAGAAAGGTTCAAGTCTGGGAGTCCAATGTACATATCGCAAAGAACTTTCTGAGAATGCTTGGGTCTACTTTTTATGTGAAGATAGCCGTTTCCAAAGAATTCTTCAAAGAGTTCCAGATATCCACAGGCAGATTCTACAAAAGAAGTGTTTCAATACTACTCTATCAAAAGACGTATTCAACTCAGTTACTTTAATGCACACATCTCAATGAAGTTCCTGAGAAAGCTTCTGTCTAGTTTTTATGTGAAAATATTTCCTTTTCCATCATGGGCCTCAAAGCGCTCCAAATATCCACTTCCAGATACTACACAAAGACTGTTTCAGAACTGCTTTCTCAAAAGAAAGTTTCAACTCTGTGAGTTGAATGCACACAGCACAAAGCAGTTTCTGAGAATGCTTCTGTGTAATTTGTATGTGAAGATATCCCGTATACGCCCAATTCCTCAAAGACCTCCAAATATCCACAAGCACATTCTACAAAAGCAGTGTTTCAAATCTGCTGTATCAAAAGAAAGGTTCAACTTTGTGAATTGGACACAAACATCTCAAAGGAGTTTCTGAGAAGGCTTCTTTCTAGTTTGTATGTGAACTCATTTCTTTTTCCACCACAGGCAACGAAGCTCTCCAAATGAACACTTGCCGATTCTATAAAAAGTGTGTTTCAACACTGCTCTATCAAAATAAGGTTTCAAGTCTGTACGTTTAATGCACACATCAAAAGCAGTTTCTGAGAATGCTTCTGTCTAGTTTGTAGGTGAAGGTATTCCCTTTTCCATCTTAGACCACAAATCACTAAAAATATCCACCTGTATATACTACAAAAAGACTGTTTCAAAACCTCTCTCTCAAAAGGAAGGTTCAACTCTGTGAGTTGAATGCACACATCACAAAGCAGTTTCTGAGCATGCTTCTGTCTAGTTTGTATGTGAAGATAGTTCCTTTTCCCTCATAGGCCTCAAAGCATTCCAAATATCGACTTGCAGATACTACAAAAAGACTGTTTCAAAACTGTTCTCTCAGAAGGAAGGTTCAACTCCGTGTGTTGAATGCACACATCACAAAGCAGTTTCTGAGAATGCTTCTGGCTAGTTTGTGTGTGAAGATATCCCATTGACAGCGAATTCCTCAAAGAGCTCCAAATATCCACAAGCAGATTCTAGAAAAGCAGTGTTTCAAAACTGCTCAATCAAAAGAAAGGTTCAACTCTGTGAATTGAACACACATATCACAAAGGAGTTTCGGAGAACGCTTCTTTGTAGTGCTTATGTGAAGATATTTCTTTTTCCACCATAGGCATCAAAGCGCTCCAAATGAACTCTTGCAGATTCTACAAATGTGTGTTTCAAACTGCTCCGTCTAAAGAAATGTTCAAGTCTCTGAGTTGAATGCACCCATCACAAAGCAGTTTCTGAGAATGCTTCTATCTAGTTTGTATGTGAAGATATTCCCGTTTCCATCTTAAGCCTCACATCGCTCCATATATCCACTTGAGGATACTACAAAAAACTGTTTCAAAACTGCTCTCTCAAAAGGAAGGTTCAACTCTGTGAGCTGAATGCACACATCACAAAGCAGTTAATGAGATTGCTTCTGTCTAGTTTGTATGTGAGGATATTTCCTTTTCAATCTTAGACTTCCCATCGCTCCAAATATCCACTTGCAGTTATTTCAAAGAGACTGTTTAAAAACTGCTCTCTCAGAAGGAAGGTTCACCTATGTGAGTTGAATGCACACACCACAAGGCAGTTTCTGAGAATGCTTGTGTCTAGTTTGTATGTGAAGATATCCCGTTTACAACGAATTCCTCAAAGAGCTCCAAATATCCACAAGCAGATTCTACAGAAGCAGTGTATCAAAACTGCTCTATCAAAAGAAAGGTTCAACTCTCTGAATAGAACAAACACATCACAAAGGAGTTTCTGAGAATGCTTCTGTCTAGTATTTATGTGACGATATTTCTTTTTCCACCATAGGGAAAAAAACGCTCCAAGCGAACACTTGCACATCCTACAAAATGTGTGTTTCAACACTGCTCTTTCAAGAGAAAGGTTCAAGTCTGTGAGTTGAATGCACACATCACTAAGCAGTTTCTGAGAATGCTTCTCCCTAGTTTGTATGTGAAGATATCCCGTTTACAACGAAATCCTCAAAGAGCTCCAAATATCCACAAGCAGATCCTATAAAAGCGGTGTTTCAAAACTGCTCTGTCAAAAGAAAATTTCTATTCTGTGAATTTGACACACACTTCACAAAGGAGTTTCTGAGAATGTTTCTGTCTAGTTTTCATTGGAAGATATTTCTTTTTCCACCGTAGGCAACAAAGCGCACTAAATGAACACTTGCAGATTCTATAAAAAGCGTGTTCCAACCCTGATCTCTCAAAAGAAAGTTTGAAGTCTGTGAGTTTAAGGCACACATCTCAAAGAACTTTGTGAGAATGCTTGGTTCTCCTTTTTTTGGGAAGATACCAGCTGCCAACGAATTCCTGAAAGAGTTCCAAATATCCACAAGCAGATTCTACAAAAGGAGTGTTGCAATTCTGCTCTATCAAAAGGCAGATTCAACTCAGTTACTTGAATGCACACATCTCAATGAAGTTCCTGAGCATGCCTCTGTCTAGTTTTCTGTGAAGATATTTCCTTTTCCGCCAAAGGCTTAAAAGCTCTCCAAAATGAACACTCGCAGATCCTACAAAAAGACTGTTTCAGAACTGCTCTATCAAAAGGACGGTTCCACTCTGTGAGGTGAATGCACACATCACAAAGCAGATTCTGAGAAAGCTTCTGTCAAGTTTGGCTGTGAAGATATTTCCTTTTCCATCTTAGTCCTCCCATTGTTCCAAATATCCACTTGCAGATAGTACAAAAAGATTGTTTCAAAACTGTTCTCTCAAAAGGAAGGTTCAACTCTGTGAGTAGAATGCACACATCACAAACCAGTTTCTGAGGATGCTTCTGACTAGTTTGAATGTGAAGATATCCCGTTTAAAACGAATTCCTCAAACAGCTCCAAATATCCACAAGAAGATTCTACAAAAGCAGTGTTTCAAAACTGCTTTATCTAAAGAAAGGTTCAACCCTGTGAATTGAACAACTACATCACAAAGTATTTTCTGAGAAAGTTTCTGTCTAGTTTTCAGGTGAAGATATTTCTTTTTCCACCATGGGCAAGAAAGCACTCCAAATGAACACTTGCAGATTCTACAAAAAGTGTGTTTGAACCCTGCTGTATCAAAAGAAAGTTTCAAGCCTGTGAGTTGAATCCCCACATCACAAAGCAGTTTCTGAGAATGCTTCTGCCTAGTTTTCAGGTGAAGGTATATCCTTTTCCATCTTAGGCCTCAAATCTCTCCAAACATCCACTTGCAGATACTTCAAAAAGACTGTTTCAAAACTGCTCTCAAAAGGAAGGTTCAACTCTGTGAGTTGAATGCACACATCACAACGCAGTGTCTGAGAACGCTTCTGTCTAGTTTGTATGTGGAGATATTTCCTTTTCCATCTTAGGCCTCAAATCGATCCAAATATCCAATTGCAGATACCACAAAAAGACTGCTTCAAAACAGCTCTCGCAAAAGGAAGGTTCAACTCTGTGAGTTGAATGCACACATCACAGAGCAGTTTCTGAGAATGCTTCTGTCTACTTTGTATGTGAAGATATCCCGTTTACAACAAATTCCTCAAAGAGCCCCCAATAGCAACAAGCAGATTCTACAAAAGCAGTGTTTCAAAACTGCTCTATCCAAAGCAACTTTCAACTCTGCGAATTGAACACACACATCACAAAGCAGTCTCTGAGAATGCTTCTGTCTGGTTTTTAGGTGAAGATATTCCTTTTTCCACCATAGGCAACAGAGCACTCCAAACGAACACATGAAGATTCTACAAAAAGTGTGTTCCAACACTGCTCTATCAAAAGAAAGTTTCAAGTCTGGGAGTCCAATGTACATGTCACAAAGAACGTTCTGTGAATGCTTGGGTCTACTTTTTATGTGAAGATAGCCGTTTCCAAAGAATTCTTCAAAGAGTTCCAGATATCCACAGGCAGATTCTACAAAAGAAGTGTTTCAATACTGCTCTATCAAAAGACGTATTCAACTCAGTTACTTTAATGCACACATCTCAATGAAGTTCCTGAGAAAGCTTCTGTCTAGTTTTTATGTGAAAATATTTCCTTTTCCATCATGGGCCTCAAAGTGCTCAAAATGGACACTTGCAGATACTAGAGAAAGACTGTTTCAAAACTGCTCTATCCAAAGAACGGTTCCACTCTGTGAGGTGAATGCACACATCACAAAGCAGTTTCTGAGAACGCTTCTGTCTAGTTTTTATGTGAAAATATTTCCTTTTCCATCATGGGCCTCAAAGCGCTCCAAATATCCACTTGCAGATACTACACAAAGACTGTTTCAGAACTGCTTTCTCAAAAGAAAGTTTCAACTCTGTGAGTTGAATGCACACAGCACAAAGCAGTTTCTGAGAATGCTTCTGTGTAATTTGTATGTGAAGATATCCCGTATACGCCCAATTCCTCAAAGACCTCCAAATATCCACAAGCACATTCTACAAAAGCAGTGTTTCAAATCTGCTGTATCAAAAGAAAGGTTCAACTTTGTGAATTGGACACAAACATCTCAAAGGAGTTTCTGAGAAGGCTTCTTTCTAGTTTGTAGGTGAACACATTTCTTTTTCCACCACAGGCAACGAAGCTCTGCAAATGAATACTTGCCGATTCTATAAAAAGTGTGTTTCAACACTGCTCTATCAAAATAAGGTTTCAAGTCTGTACGTTTAATGCACACATCAAAAGCCGTTTCTGAGAATGCTTCTGTCTAGTTTGTAGGTGAAGGTATTCCCTTTTCCATCTTAGACCTCAAATCACTGAAAATATCCACTTGTATATACTACAAAAAGAAGGTTTCAAAACCTCTCTCTCAAAAGGAAGGTTCAACTCTGTGAGTTGAATGCACACATCACAAAGCAGTTTCTGAGCATGCTTCTGTCTAGTTTGTATGTGAAGATAGTTCCTTTTCCCTCATAGGCCTCAAAGCGTTCCACATATCGACTTGCAGATACTACAAAAAGACTGTTTGAAAACTGTTCTCTCAGAAGGAAGGTTCAACTCCGTGTGTTGAATGCACACATCACAAAGCAGTTTCTGAGAATGCTTCTGGCTAGTTTGTATGTGAAGATATCCCTTTGACAGCGAATTCCTCAAAGAGCTCCAAATATCCACAAGCAGATTCTAGAAAATCAGTGTTTCAAAACTGCTCAATCAAAAGAAAGGTTCAACTCTGTGAACTGAACACACATATCACAAAGGAGTTTCGGAGAACGCTTCTTTCTAGTGTTTATGTGAAGATATTTCTTTTTCCACCATAGGCATCAAAGCGCTCCAAATGAACTCTTGCAGATTCTACAAATGTGTGTTTCAACACTGCTCCGTCTAAAGAAATGTTCAAGTCTCTGAGTTGAATGCACCCATCACAAAGCAGTTTGCTGAGAATGCTTCTACCTAGTTTGTATGTGCAGATATTCCCGTTTCCATCTTAAGCCTCACATCGCTCCATATATCCACTTGAGGATACTACAAAAAACTGTTTCAAAACTGCTCTCTCAAAAGGAAGGTTCAACTCTGTGAGCTGAATGCACACATCACAAAGCAGTTAATGAGATTGCTTCTGTCTAGTTTGCATGTGAGGATATTTCCTTTTCAATCTTAGACTTCCCATCGCTCCAAGTATCCACTTGCAGATATTTCAAAGAGACTGTTTAAAAACTGCTCTCTCAGAAGGAAGGTCCAACTCTGTGAGTTGAATGCACACACCACAAAGCAGTTTCTGAGAATGCTTGTGTCTAGTTTGTATGTGAAGATATCCCGTTTACAACGAATTCCTCAAAGAGCTCCAAATATCCACAAGCAGATTCTACAGAAGCAGTGTATCAAAACTGCTCTATCAAAAGAAAGGTTTAACTCTCTGAATAGAACAAACACATCACAAAGGAGTTTCTGAGAATGCTTCTGTCTAGTTTGTATGTGAAGATATTTCTTTATCCACCATAGGCAAAAAAACGCTCCAAGTGAACACTTGCACATCCTACAAAATGTGTGTTTCAACACTGCTCTTTCAAGAGAAAGGTTCAAGTCTGTGAGTTGAATGCACACATCACTAAGCAGTTTCTGAGAATGCTTCTGTCTAGTTTGTATGTGATGATATCCCGTTTACAACGAAATCCTCAAAGAGCTCCAAATATCCACAAGCAGATCCTATAAAAGCGGTGTTTCAAAACTGCTCTATCAAAAGAAAATTTCAATTCTGTGAATTTGACACACACTTCACAAAGGAGTTTCTGAGAATGTTTCTGTCTAGTTTTCATTTGAAGATATTTCTTTTTCCACCGTAGGCAACAAAGCGCACTAAATGAACACTTGCAGATTCTACAAAAAGCGTGTTCCAACCCTGATCTCTCAAAAGAAAGTTTGAAGTCTGTGAGTTTAAGGCACACATCTCAAAGAACTTTGTGAGAATGCTTGGTTCTCCTTTTTTTGGGAAGATACCAGCTGCCAACGAATTCCTGAAAGAGTTCCAAATATCCACAAGCAGATTCTACAAAAGGAGTGTTGCAATTCTGCTCTATCAAAAGGCAGATTCAACTCAGTTACTTGAATGCACACATCTCAATGAAGTTCCTGAGCATGCCTCTGTCTAGTTTTCTGTGAAGATATTTCCTTTTCCGCCAAAGGCTTAAAAGCGCTCCAAAATGAACACTCGCAGATCCTACAAAAAGACTGTTTCAGAACTGCTCTATCAAAAGGACGGTTCCACTCTGTGAGGTGAATGCACACATCACAAAGCAGATTCTGAGAAAGCTTCTGTCAAGTTTGGCTGTGAAGATATTTCCTTTTCCATCTTAGTCCTCCCATTGTTCCAAATATCCACTTGCAGATAGTACAAAAAGATTGTTTCAAAACTGTTCTCTCAAAAGGAAGGTTCAACTCTGTGAGTAGAATGCACACATCACAAACCAGTTTCTGAGGATGCTTCTGACTAGATTGAATGTGAAGATATCCCGTTTAAAACGAATTCCTCAAACAGCTCCAAATATCCACAAGAAGATTCTACAAAAGCAGTGTTTCAAAACTGCTTTATCTAAAGAAAGGTTCAACCCTGTGAATTGAACAACTACATCACAAAGTATTTTCTCAGAATGTTTCTGTCTAGTTTTTAGGTGAAGATATTTCTTTTTCCACCATGGGGAAGAAAGCACTCCAAATGAACACTTGCAGATTCTACAAAAAGTGTGTTTCAACACTGCTCTATCAAAAGAAAGTTTCAAGTCTGTGGGTTGAATCCCCACATCACAAAGCAGTTTCTGAGAATGCTTCTGCCTAGTTTTTAGGTGAAGGTATATCCTTTTCCATCTTAGGCCTCAAATCTCTCCAAACATCCACTTGCAGATACTTCAAAAAGACTGTTTCAAAACTGCTCTCAAAAAGAAGGTTCAACTCTGTGAGTTGAATGCATACATCACAACGCAGTGTCTGAGAATGCTTCTGTCTAGTTTGTATGTGGAGATATTTCCTTTTCCATCTTAGGCCTCAAATCGATCCAAATATCCAATTGCAGATACCACAAAAAGACTGCTTCAAAACAGCTCTCGCAAAAGGAAGGTTCAACTCTGTGAGTTGAATGCACACATCACAGAGCAGTTTCTGAGAATGCTTCTGTCTAGTTTGTATGTGAAGATATCCCGTTTACAACAAATTCCTCAAAGAGCCCCCAATAGCAACAAGCAGATTCTACAAAAGCAGTGTTTCAAAACTGCTCTATCAAAAGCAACTTTCAACTCTGCGAATTGAACACACACATCACAAAGCAGTCTCTGAGAATGCTTCTGTCTGGTTTTTAGGTGAAGATATTCCTTTTTCCACCAGAGGCAACAAAGCACTCCAAACGAACACATGAAGATTCTACAAAAAGTGTGTTCCAACACTGCTCTATCAAAAGAAAGGTTCAAGTCTGGGAGTCCAATGTACATATCACAAAGAACTTTCTGAGAATGCTTGGGTCTACTTTTTATGTGAAGATAGCCGTTTCCAAAGAATTCTTCAAAGAGTTCCAGATATTCACAGACAGATACTACAAAAGAAGTGTTTCAATACTGCTCTATCAAAAGACGTATTCAACTCAGTTACTTTAATGCACACATCTCTATGAAGTTCCTGAGAAAGCTTCGGTCTAGGTTTATGTGAAAATATTTCCTTTTCCATCATGGGCCTCAAAGCGCTCAAAATGAACACTTGCAGATACTAGAGAAAGACTGTCTCAAAACTGCTCTATCCAAAGAACGGTTCCACTCTGTGAGGTGAATGCACACATCACAAAGCAGTTTCTGAGAACTCTTCTGTCTAGTTTGTATGTGAATATATTTCCTGTTCCATCATAGGCCTCAAATCGCTCCAAATATCCACTTGCAGATACTACAAAAAGATTGTTTCAGAACTGCTTTCTCGAAAGAAAGTTTCAACTCTGTGAGTTGAATGCACACAGCACAAAGCAGTTTCTGAGAATGCTTCTGTGTAATTTGTATGTGAAGATATCCCGTATACGCCCAATTCCTCAAAGACCTCCAAATATCCACAAGCACATTCTACAAAAGCAGTGTTTCAAATCTGCTGTATCAAAAGAAAGGTTCAACTTTGTGAATTGGACACAAACATCTCAAAGGAGTTTCTGAGAAGGCTTCTTTCTAGTTTGTATGTGAACACATTTCTTTTTCCACCACAGGCAACGAAGCTCTCCAAATGAACACTTGCAGATTCTATAAAAAGTGTGTTTCAACACTGCTCTATCAAAATAAGGTTTCAAGTCTGTACGTTTAATGCACACATCAAAAGCAGTTTCTGAGAATGCTTCTGTCTAGTTTGTAGGTGAAGGTATTTCCTTTTCCATCTTAGACCTCAAATCACTGAAAATATCCACTTGTATATACTACAAAAAGAAGTTTTCAAAACCTCTCTCTCAAAAGGAAGGTTCAACTCTGTGAGTTGAATGCAAACATCACAAAGCAGTTTCTGAGCATGCTTCTGTCTAGTTTGTATGTGAAGATAGTTCCTTTTCCCTCATAGGCCTCAAAGCGTTCCAAATATCGACTTGCAGATACTACAAAAAGACTGTTTGAAAACTGTTCTCTCAGAAGGAAGGTTCAACTCCGTGTGTTGAATGCACACATCACAAAGCAGTTTCTGAGAATGCTTCTGGCTAGTTTGTATGTGAAGATATCCCATTGACAGCGAATTCCTCAAAGAGCTCCAAATATCCACAAGCAGATTCTAGAAAATCAGTGTTTCAAAACTGCTCAATCTAAAGAAAGGTTCACCTCTGTGCATTGAACACACATATCACAAAGGAGTTTCGGAGAACGCTTCTTTTTAGTGTTTATGTGAAGATATTTCTTTTTCCACCATAGGCATCAAAGCGCTCCAAATGAACTCTTGCAGATTCTACAAATGTGTGTATCAACACTGCACCGTCTAAAGAAATGTTCAAGTCTCTGAGTTGAATGCACCCATCACAAAGCAGTTTCTGAGAATGCTTCTATCTAGTTTGTATGTGAAGATATTCCCGTTTCCACCTTAAGCCTCACATCGCTCCATATATCCACTTGAGGATACTACAAAAAACTGTTTCAAAACTGCTCTCTCAAAAGGAAGGTTCAATTCTGTGAGCTGAATGCACACATCACAAAGCAGTTAATGAGATTACTTCTGTCTAGTTTGTATGTGAGGATATTTCCTTTTCAATCTTAGACTTCCCATCGCTCCAAATATCCACTTGCAGATATTTCAAGGAGACTGTTTAAAAACTGCTCTCTCAGAAGGAAGGTTCAACTTTGTGAGTTGAATGCACACACCACAAAGCAGTTTCTGAGAATGCTTGTGTCTAGTTTGTATGTGAAGATATCCCGTTTACAACGAATTCCTCAAAGAGCTCCAAATATCCACAAGCAGATTCTACAGAAGCAGTGTGTCAAAACTGCTCTATCAAAAGAAAAGTTCAACTCTCTGAATAGAACAAACACATCACAAAGGAGTTTCTGAGAATGCTTCTGTCTAGTATTTATGTGAAGATATTTCTTTTTCCACCATAGGCAAAAAAGCGCTCCAAGTGAACACTTGCACATCCTACAAAATGTGTGTTTCAACACTGCTCTTTCAAGAGAAAGGTTCAAGTCTGTGAGTTGAATGCACACATCACTAAGCAGTTTCTGAGAATGCTTCTGTCTAGTTTGTATGTGAAGATATCCCGTTTACAATGAAATCCTCAAAGAGCTCCAAACATCCACAAGCAGATCCTATAAAAGCGGTGTTTCAAAACTGCTCTATCAAAAGAAAATTTCAATTCTGTGAATTTGACACACACTTCACAGAGGAGTTTCTGAGAATGTTTCTGTCTAGTTTCCCTTTGAAGATATTTCTTTTTCCACCGTAGGCAACAAAGCGCACTAAATGAACACTTGCAGATTCTACAAAAAGCGTGTTCCAACCCTGATCTCTCAAAAGAAAGTTTGAAGTCTGTGAGTTTAAGGCACACATCTCAAAGAACTTTTTGAGAATGCTTGGTTCTCCTTTATTTGGGAAGATACCAGCTGCTAACGAATTCCTGAAAGAGTTCCAAATATCCACAAGCAGATTCTACAAAAGGAGTGTTGCAATTCTGCTCTATCAAAAGGCAGATTCAACTCAGTTACTTGAATGCACACATCTCAATGAAGTTCCTGAGCATGACTCTGTCTAGTTTTCTGTGAAGATATTTCCTTTTCCGCCAAAGGCTTAAAAGCTCTCCAAAATGAACACTCGCAGATCCTACAAAAAGACTGTTTCAGAACTGCTCTATCAAAAGGACGGTTCCACTCTGTGAGGTGAATGCACACATCACAAAGCAGATTCTGAGAAAGCTTCTGTCAAGTTTGGCTGTGAAGATATTTCCTTTTCCATCTTAGTCCTCCCATTGCTCCAAATATCCACTTGTAGAGAGTACAAAAAGATTGTTTCAAAACTGTTCTCTCAAAAGGAAGGTTCAACTCTGTGAGTAGAATGCACACATCACAAACCAGTTTCTGAGGATGCTTCTGACTAGTTTGAATGTGAAGATATCCCGTTTAAAACGAATTCCTCAAACAGCTCCAAATATCCACAAGAAGATTCTACAAAAGCAGTGTTTCAAAACTGCTTTATCTAAAGAAAGGTTCAACCCTGTGAATTGAACAACTACATCACAAAGTATTTTCTGAGAAAGTTTCTCTCTAGTTTTTAGGTGAAGATATTTCTTTTTCCACCATGGGGAAGAAAGCACTCCAAATGAACACTTGCAGATTCTACAAAAAGTGTGTTTCAACACTGCTCTATCAAAAGAAAGTTTCAAGTCTGTGGGTTGAATCCCCACATCACAAAGCAGTTTCTGAGAATGCTTCTGCCTAGTTTTTAGATGAAGGTATATCCTTTTCCATCTTAGGCCTCAAATATCTCCAAACATCCACTTGCAGATACTTCAAAAAGACTGTTTCAAAACTGCTCTCAAAAGGAAGGTTCAACTCTGTGAGTTGAATGCACACATCACAACGCAGTGTCTGAGAATGCTTCTGTCTAGTTTGCATGTGAAGATATTTCCTTTTCCATCTTAGGCCTCAAATCGATCCAAATATCCAATTGCAGACACCACAAAAAGACTGCTTCAAAACAGCTCTCGCAAAAGGAAGGTTCAACTCTGTGAGTTGAATGCACACATCACAGAGCAGTTTGTGAGAATGCTTCTGTCTAGTTTGTATGTGAAGATATCCCGTTTACAACAAATTCCTCAAAGAGCCCCCAATAGCAACAAGCAGATTCTACAAAAGCAGTGTTTCAAAACTGCTCTATCAAAAGCAACTTTCAACTCTGCGAATTGAACACACACATCACAAAGCAGTCTCTGAGAATGCTTCTGTCTTGTTTTTAGGTGAAGATATTCCTTTTTCTACCATAGGCAACAAAGCACTCCAGACGAACACATGAAGATTCTACAAAAAGTGTGTTCCAGCACTGCTCTATCAAAAGAAAGGTTCAAGTCTGGGAGTCCAATGTACATATCACAAAGAACTTTCTGAGAATGCTTGGGTCTACTTTTTATGTGAAGATAGCCGTTTCCAAAGAATTCTTCAAAGAGTTCCAGATATCCACAGGCAGATTCTACAAAAGAAGTGTTTCAATACTGCTCTATCAAAAGACGTATTCCACCCAGTTACCTTAATGCACACATCTCAGTGAAGTTCCTGAGAAAGCTTCTGTCTAGTTTTTATGTGAAAATATTTCCTTTTCCATCATGGGCCTCAAAGCGCTCAAAATGGACACTTGCAGATACTAGAGAAAGACTGTTTCAAAACTGCTCTATCCAAAGAACGGTTCCACTCTGTGAGGTGAATGCACACATCACAAAGCAGTTTCTGAGAACTCTTCTGTCTAGTTTGTATGTGAACATATTTCCTTTTCCATCATAGGCCTGAAATCGCTCCAAATATCCACTTGCAGATACTACAAAAACACTGTTTCAGAACTGCTTTCTCGAAAGAAAGTTTCAACTCTGTGAGTTGAATGCACACAGCACAAAGCAGTTTCTGAGAATGCTTCTGTGTAATTTGTATGTGAAGATATCCCGTATACGCCCAATTCCTCAAAGACCTCCAAATATCCACAAGCACATTCTACAAAAGCAGTGTTTCAAATCTGCTGTATCAAAAGAAAGGTTCAACTTTGTGAATTGGACACAAACATCTCAAAGGAGTTTCTGAGAAGGCTTCTTTCTAGTTTGTATGTGAACACATTTCTTTTTCCACCACAGGCAACGAAGCTCTCCAAATGAACACTTGCAGATTCTATAAAAAGTGTGTTTCAACACTGCTCTATCAAAATAAGGTTTCAAGTCTGTACGTTTAATGCACACATCAAAAGCAGTTTCTGAGAATGCTTCTGTCTAGTTTGTAGGTGAAGGTATTTCCTTTTCCATCTTAGACCTCAAATCACTAAAAATATCCACTTGTATATACTACAAAAAGAAGGTTTCAAAACCTCTCTCTCAAAAGGAAGGTTCAACTCTGTGAGTTGAATGCACACATCACAAAGCAGTTTCTGAGCATGCTTCTGTCTAGTTTGTATGTGAAGATAGTTCCTTTTCCCTCATAGGCCTCAAAGCGTTCCAAATATCGACTTGCAGATACTACAAAAAGACTGTGTGAAAACTGTTCTCTCAGAAGGTAGGTTCAACTCCGTGTGTTGAATGCACACATCACAAAGCAGTTTCTGAGAATGCTTCTGGCTAGTTTGTATGTGAAGATATCCCTTTGACAGCGAATTCCTCAAAGAGCTCCAAATATCCACAAGCAGATTCTAGAAAATCAGTGTTTCAAAACTGCTCAATCTAAAGAAAGGTTCACCTCTGTGCATTGAACACACATATCACAAAGGAGTTTCGGAGAACGCTACTTCCTAGTGTTTATGTGAAGATATTTCTTTTTCCACCATAGGCATCAAAGCGCTCCAAATGAACTCTTGCAGATTCTACAAATGTGTGTTTCAACACTGCTCTTTCAAGAGAAAGGTTCAAGTCTGTGAGTTGAATGCACACATCACTAAGCAGTTTCTGAGAATGCTTCTATCTAGTTTGTATGTGCAGATATTCCCGTTTCCATCTTAAGCCTCACATCGCTCCATATATCCACTTGAGGATACTACAAAAAACTGTTTCAAAACTGCTCTCTCAAAAGGAAGGTTCAACTCTGTGAGCTGAATGCACACATCACAAAGCAGTTAATGAGATTGCTTCTGTCTAGTTTGCATGTGAGGATATTTCCTTTTCAATCTTAGACTTCCCATCGCTCCAAGTATCCACTTGCAGATATTTCAAAGAGACTGTTTAAAAACTGCTCTCTCAGAAGGAAGGTTCAACTCTGTGAGTTGAATGCACACACCACAAAGCAGTTTCTGAGAATGCTTGTGTCTAGTTTGTATGTGAAGATATCCCGTTTACAACGAATTCCTCAAAGAGCTCCAAATATCCACAAGCAGATTCTACAGAAGCAGTCTATCAAAACTGCTCTATCAAAAGAAAGGTTCAACTCTCTGAATAGAACAAACACATCACAAAGGAGTTTCTGAGAATGCTTCTGTCTAGTATTTATGTGAAGATATTGCTTTTTCCACCATAGGCAAAAAAGCTCTCCAAGTGAACACTTGCACATCCTACAAAATGTGTGTTTCAACACTGCTCTTTCAAAAGAAATGTTCAAGTCTGTGAGTTGAATGCACACATCACAAAGCAGTTTCTGAGAATTCTTCTCCCTAGTTTGTATGTGAAGATATCCCGTTTACAACGAAATCCTCAAAGAGCTCCAAATATCCACAAGCAGATCCTATAAAAGCGGTGTTTCAAAACTGCTCTGTCAAAAGAAAATTTCTATTCTGTGAATTTGACACACACTTCACAAAGGAGTTTCTGAGAATGTTTCTGTCTAGTTTTCATTTGAAGATATTTCTTTTTCCACCGTAGGCAACAAAGCGCACTAAATGAACACTTGCAGATTCTACAAAAAGCGTGTTCCAACCCTGATCTCTCAAAAGAAAGTTTGAAGTCTGTGAGTTTAAGGCACACATCTCAAAGAACTTTGTGAGAATGCTTGGTTCTCCTTTTTTTGGGAAGATACCAGCTGCCAACGAATTCCTGAAAGAGTTCCAAATATCCACAAGCAGATTCTACAAAAGGAGTGTTGCAATTCTGCTCTATCAAAAGGCAGATTCAACTCAGTTACTTGAATGCACACATCTCAATGAAGTTCCTGAGCATGCCTCTGTCTAGTTTTCTGTGAAGATATTTCCTTTTCCGCCAAAGGCTTAAAAGCTCTCCAAAATGAACACTCGCAGATCCTACAAAAAGACTGTTTCAGAACTGCTCTATCAAAAGGACGGTTCCACTCTGTGAGGTGAATGCACTCATCACAAAGCAGATTCTCAGAAAGCTTCTGTCAAGTTTGGCTGTGAAGATATTTCCTTTTCCATCTTAGTCCTCCCATTGCTCCAAATATCCACTTGTAGATAGTACAAAAAGATTGTTTCAAAACTGTTCTCTCAAAAGGAAGGTTCAACTCTGTGAGTAGAATGCACACATCACAAACCAGTTTCTGAGGATGCTTCTGACTAGTTTGAATGTGAAGATATCCCGTTTAAAACGAATTCCTCAAACAGCTCCAAATATCCACAAGAAGATTCTACAAAAGCAGTGTTTCAAAACTGCTTTATCTAAAGAAAGGTTCAACCCTGTGAATTGAACAACTACATCACAAAGTATTTTCTGAGAAAGTTTCTCTCTAGTTTTTAGGTGAAGATATTTCTTTTTCCACCATGGGGAAGAAAGCACTCCAAATGAACACTTGCAGATTCTACAAAAAGTGTGTTTCAACACTGCTCTATCAAAAGAAAGTTTCAAGTCTGTGGGTTGAATCCCCACATCACAAAGCAGTTTCTGAGAATGCTTCTGCCTAGTTTTTAGGTGAAGGTATATCCTTTTCCATCTTAGGCCTCAAATCTCTCCAAACATCCACTTGCAGATACTTCAAAAAGACTGTTTCAAAACTGCTCTCAAAAGGAAGGTTCAACTCTGTGAGTTGAATGCACACATCACAACGCAGTGTCTGAGAACGCTTATGTCTAGTTTGTATGTGAAGATATTTCCTTTTCCATCTTAGGCCTCAAATCGATCCAAATATCCAATTGCAGACACCACAAAAAGACTGCTTCAAAACAGCTCTCGCAAAAGGAAGGTTCAACTCTGTGAGTTGAATGCGCACATCACAGAGCAGTTTCTGAGAATGCTTCTGTCTAGTTTGTATGTGAAGATATCCCGTTTACAACAAATTCCTCAAAGAGCCCCCAATAGCAACAAGCAGATTCTACAAAAGCAGTGTTTCAAAACTGCTCTATCAAAAGCAACTTTCAACTCTGCGAATTGAACACACACATCACAAAGCAGTCTCTGAGAATGCTTCTGTCTGGTTTTTAGGTGAAGATATTCCTTTTTCCAACATAGGCAACAAAGCACTCCAAAGGAACACATGAAGATTCTACAAAAAGTGTGTTCCAACACTGCTCTATCAAAAGAAAGGTTCAAGTCTGGGAGTCCAATGTACATATCGCAAAGAACTTTCTGAGAATGCTTGGGTCTACTTTTTATGTGAAGATAGCCGTTTCCAAAGAATTCTTCAAAGAGTTCCAGATATCCACAGGCAGATTCTACAAAAGAAGTGTTTCAATACTGCTCTATCAAAAGACGTATTCCACTCAGTTACTTTAATGCACACATCTCAATGAAGTTCCTGAGAAAGCTTCTGTCTAGTTTTTATGTGAAAATATTTCCTTTTCCATCATGGGCCTCAAAGCGCTCAAAATGAACACTTGCAGATACTAGAGAAAGACTGTTTCAAAACTGCTCTATCCAAAGAACGGTTCCACTCTGTGAGGTGAATGCACACATCACAAAGCAGTTTCTGAGAACTCTTTCTGTCTAGTTTGTATGTGAACATATTTCCTTTTCCATCATAGGCCTCAAATCGCTCCAAATATCCACTTGCAGATACTACAAAAAGACTGTTTCGGAACTGCTTTCTCAAAAGAAAGTTTCAACTCTGTGAGTTGAATGCACACAGCACAAAGCAGTTTCTGACAATGCTTCTGTGTAATTTGTATGTGAAGATATCCCGTATACGCCCAATTCCTCAAAGACCTCCAAATATCCACAAGCACATTCTACAAAAGCAGTGTTTCAAATCTGCTGTATCAAAAGAAAGGTTCAACTTTGTGAATTGGACACAAACATCTCAAAGGAGTTTCTGAGAAGGCTTCTTTCTAGTTTGTATGTGAACTCATTTCTTTTTCCACCACAGGCAACGAAGCTCTCCAAATGAACACTTGCCGATTCTATAAAAAGTGTGTTTCAACACTGCTCTATCAAAATAAGGTTTCAAGTCTGTACGTTTAATGCACACATCAAAAGCAGTTTCTGAGAATGCTTCTGTCTAGTTTGTAGGTGAAGGTATTCCCTTTTCCATCTTAGACCTCAAATCACTAAAAATATCCACTTGTATATACTACAAAAAGAAGGTTTCAAAACCTCTCTCTCAAAAGGAAGGTTCAACTCTGTGAGTTGAATGCACACATCACAAAGCAGTTTCTGAGCATGCTTCTGTCTAGTTTGTATGTGAAGATAGTTCCTTTTCCCTCATAGGCCTCAAAGCGTTCCAAATATCGACTTGCAGATACTACAAAAAGACTGTGTGAAAACTGTTCTCTCAGAAGGTAGGTTCAACTCCGTGTGTTGAATGCACACATCACAAAGCAGTTTCTGAGAATGCTTCTGGCTACTTTGTATGTGAAGATATCCCTTTGACAGCGAATTCCTCAAAGAGCTCCAAATATCCACAAGCAGATTCTAGAAAAGCAGTGTTTCAAAACTGCTCAATCTAAAGAAAGGTTCACCTCTGTGCATTGAACACACATATCACAAAGGAGTTTCGGAGAACGCTTCTTTCTAGTGTTTATGTGAAGATATTTCTTTTTCCACCATAGGCATCAAAGCGCTCCAAATGAACCCTTGCAGATTCTACAAATGTGTGTTTCAACACTGCTCCGTCTAAAGAAATGTTCAAGTCTCTGAGTTGAATGCACCCATCACAAAGCAGTTTCTGAGAATGCTTCTATCTAGTTTGTATGTGCAGATATTCCCGTTTCCATCTTAAGCCTCACGTCGCTCCATATGTCCACTTGAGGACACTACAAAAAACTGTTTCAAAACTGCTCTCTCAAAAGGAAGGTTCAACTCTGCGAGCTGAATGCACACATCACAAAGCAGTTAATGAGATTGCGTCTGTCTAGTTTGTATGTGAGGATATTTCCTTTTCAATCTTAGACTTCCCATCGCTCCAAATATCCACTTGCAGATATTTCAAAGAGACTGTTTAAAAACTGCTCTCTCAGAAGGAAGGTTCAACTCTGTGACTTGAATGCACACACCACAAAGCAGTTTCTGAGAATGCTTGTGTCTAGTTTGTATGTGAAGATATCCCGTTTACAACGAATTCCTCAAAGAGCTCCAAATATCCACAAGCAGATTCTACAGAAGCAGTGTATCAAAACTGCTCGATCAAAAGAAAGGTTCAACTCTCTGAATAGAACAAACACATCACAAAGGAGTTTCTGAGAATGCTTCTGTCTAGTATTTATGTGAAGATATTTCTTTTTCCACCATAGACAAAAACACGCTCCAAGTGAACACTTGCACATCCTACAAAATGTGTGTTTCAACACTGCTCTTTCAAGAGAAAGGTTCAAGTCTGTGAGTTGAATGCACACATCACTAAGCAGTTTCTGAGAATGCTTCTGTCTAGTTTGTATGTGAAGATATCCCGTTTACAACGAAATCCTCAAAGAGCTCCAAATATCCACAAGCAGATCCTATAAAAGCGGTGTTTCAAAACTGCTCTATCAAAAGAAAATTTCAATTCTGTGAATTTGACACACACTTCACAAAGGAGTTTCTGAGAATGTTTCTGTCTAGTTTTCATTTGAAGATATTTCTTTTTCCACCGTAGGCAACAAAGCGCACTAAATGAACACTTGCAGATTCTACAAAAAGCGTGTTCCAACCCTGATCTCTCAAAAGAAAGTTTGAAGTCTGTGAGTTTAAGGCACACATCTCAAAGAACTTTGTGAGAATGCTTGGTTCTCCTTTTTTTGGGAAGATACCAGCTGCCAACGAATTCCTGAAAGAGTTCCAAATATCCACAAGCAGATTCTACAAAAGGAGTGTTGCAATTCTGCTCTATCAAAAGGCAGATTCAACTCAGTTACTTGAATGCACACATCTCAATGAAGTTCCTGAGCATGCCTCTGTCTAGTTTTCTGTGAAGATATTTCCTTTTCCGCCAAAGGCTTAAAAGCGCTCCAAAATGAACACTCGCAGATCCTACAAAAAGACTGTTTCAGAACTGCTCTATCAAAAGGACGGTTCCACTCTGTGAGGTGAATGCACACATCACAAAGCAGATTCTGAGAAAGCTTCTGTCAAGTTTGGCTGTGAAGATATTTCCTTTTCCATCTTAGTCCTCCCATTGCTCCAAATATCCACTTGTAGAGAGTACAAAAAGATTGTTTCAAAACTGTTCTCTCAAAAGGAAGGTTCAACTCTGTGAGTAGAATGCACACATCACAAACCAGTTTCTGAGGATGCTTCTGACTAGTTTGAATGTGAAGATATCCCCTATAAAACGAATTCCTCCAACAGCTCCAAATATCCACAAGAAGATTCTACAAAAGCAGTGTTTCAAAACTGCTTTATCTAAAGAAAGGTTCAACCCTGTGAATTGAACAACTACATCACAAAGTATTTTCTGAGAATGTTTCTGTCTAGTTTTTAGGTGAAGATATTTCTTTTTCCACCATGGGGAAGAAAGCACTCCAAATGAACACTTGCAGATTCTACAAAAAGTGTGTTTCAACACTGCTCTATCAAAAGAAAGTTTCAAGTCTGTGAGTTGAATCCCCACATCACAAAGCAGTTTCTGAGAATGCTTCTGCCTAGTTTTTAGATGAAGGTATATCCTTTTCCATCTTAGGCCTCAAATATCTCCAAACATCCACTTGCAGATACTTCAAAAAGACTGTTTCAAAACTGCTCTCAAAAGGAAGGTTCAACTCTGTGAGTTGAATGCACACATCACAACGCAGTGTCTGAGAATGCTTATGTCTAGTTTGTATGTGAAGATATTTCCTTTTCCATCTTAGGCCTCAAATCGATCCAAATATCCAATTGCAGACACCACAAAAAGACTGCTTCAAAACAGCTCTCGCAAAAGGAAGGTTCAACTCTGTGAGTTGAATGCGCACATCACAGAGCAGTTTCTGAGAATGCTTCTGTCTACTTTGTATGTGAAGATATCCCGTTTACAACAAATTCCTCAAAGAGCCCCCAATAGCAACAAGCAGATTCTACAAAAGCAGTGTTTCAAAACTGCTCTATCCAAAGCAACTTTCAACTCTGCGAATTGAACACACACATCACAAAGCAGTCTCTGAGAATGCTTCTGTCTGGTTTTTAGGTGAAGATATTCCTTTTTCCACCAGAGGCAACAAAGCACTCCAAACGAACACATGAAGATTCTACAAAAAGTGTGTTCCAACACTGCTCTATCAAAAGAAAGGTTCAAGTCTGGGAGTCCAATGTACATATCACAAAGAACTTTCTGAGAATGCTTGGGTCTACTTTTTATGTGAAGATAGCCGTTTCCAAAGAATTCTTCAAAGAGTTCCAGATATCCACAGGCAGATTCTACAAAAGAAGTGTTTCAATACTGCTCTATCAAAAGACGTATTCCACTCAGTTACTTTAATGCACACATCTCAATGAAGTTCCTGAGAAAGCTTCTGTCTAGTTTTTATGTGAAAATATTTCCTTTTCCATCATGGGCCTCAAAGCGCTCAAAATGAACCCTTGCAGATACTAGAGAAAGACTGTTTCAAAACTGCTCTATCCAAAGAACGGTTCCACTCTGTGAGGTGAATGCACACATCACAAAGCAGTTTCTGAGAACGCTTCTGTCTAGTTTGTATGTGAACATATTTCCTTTTCCATCATAGGCCTCAAATCGCTCCAAATATCCACTTGCAGATACTACAAAAAGACTGTTTCGGAACTGCTTTCTCAAAAGAAAGTTTCAACTCTGTGAGTTGAATGCACACAGCACAAAGCAGTTTCTGACAATGCTTCTTCCTAGTGTTTATGTGAAGATATTTCTTTTTCCACCATAGGCATCAAAGCGCTCCAAATGAACTCTTGCAGATTCTACAAATGTGTGTTTCAACACTGCTCCGTCTAAAGAAATGTTCAAGTCTCTAAGTTGAATGCACCCATCACAAAGCAGTTTCTGAGAATGTTTCTATCTAGTTTGTATGTGAAGATATTCCCGTTTCCATCTTAAGCCTCACGTCGCTCCATATGTCCACTTGAGGATACTACAAAAAACTGTTTCAAAACTGTTCTCTGAAAAGGAAGGTTCAACTCTCTGAGATGAATGCACACATCACAAAGCAGTTAATGAGATTGCTTCTGTCTAGTTTGTATGTGAGGATATTTCCTTTTTAATCTTAGACTTCCCATCGCTCCAAATATCCACTTGCAGATATTTCAAAGAGACTGTTTAAAAACTGCTCTCTCAGAAGGAAGGTTCAACTCTGTGAGTTGAATGCACCCACCACAAAGCAGTTTCTGAGAATGCTTGGGTCTAGTTTGTATGTGAAGATATCCCGTTTACAACGAATTCCTCAAAGAGCTCCAAATATCCACAAGCAGATTCTACAAAAGCAGTGTATCAAAACTGCTCTATCAAAAGAAAGGTTCAACTCTCTGAATAGAACAAACACATCACAAAGGAGTTTCTGAGAATGATTCTGTCTAGTATTTATGTGAAGATATTTCTTTTTCCACCATAGGCAAAAAAGCGCTCCAAGTGAACACTTGCACATCCTAGAAAATGTATGTTTCAACACTGCTCTTTCAAGAGAAAGGTGCAAGTCTGTGAGTTGAATGCGCACATCACAAAGCAGTTTCTGAGAATGTTTCTGTCTAGTTTGTATGTGAAGATATCCCGTTTACAACGAAATCCTCAAAGAGCTCCAAATATCCACAAGCAGATCCTATAAAAGCGGTGTTTCAAAACTGCTCTATCAAAAGAAAATTTCAATTCTGTGAATTTGACACACACTTCACAAAGGAGTTTCTGAGAATGTTTCTGTCTAGTTTTCATTTGAAGATATTTCTTTTTCCACCGTAGGCAACAAAGCGCACTAAATGAACACTTGCAGATTCTACAAAAAGCGTGTTCCAACCCTGATCTCTCAAAAGAAAGTTTGAAGTCTGTGAGTTTAAGGCACACATCTCAAAGAACTTTGTGAGAATGCTTGGTTCTCCTTTTTTTGGGAAGATACCAGCTGCCAACGAATTCCTGAAAGAGTTCCAAATATCCACAAGCAGATTCTACAAAAGGAGTGTTGCAATTCTGCTCTATCAAAAGGCAGATTCAACTCAGTTACTTGAATGCACACATCTCAATGAAGTTCCTGAGCATGCCTCTGTCTAGTTTTCTGTGAAGATATTTCCTTTTCCGCCAAAGGCTTAAAAGCTCTCCAAAATGAACACTCGCAGATCCTACAAAAAGACTGTTTCAGAACTGCTCTATCAAAAGGACGGTTCCACTCTGTGAGGTGAATGCACACATCACAAAGCAGATTCTGAGAAAGCTTCTGTCAAGTTTGGCTGTGAAGATATTTCCTTTTCCATCTTAGTCCTCCCATTGTTCCAAATATCCACTTGCAGATAGTACAAAAAGATTGTTTCAAAACTGTTCTCTCAAAAGGAAGGTTCAACTCTGTGAGTAGAATGCACACATCACAAACCAGTTTCTGAGGATGCTTCTGACTAGTTTGAATGTGAAGATATCCCGTTTAAAACGAATTCCTCAAACAGCTCCAAATATCCACAAGAAGATTCTACAAAAGCAGTGTTTCAAAACTGCTTTATCTAAAGAAAGGTTCAACCCTGTGAATTGAACAACTACATCACAAAGTATTTTCTGAGAATGTTTCTGTCTAGTTTTTGCGTGAAGATATTTCTGTTTCCAGCATAGGCAACAAACCTCTCCAAATGAACACTTGCAGATTCTACAAAAAGTGTGTTTCCTCACTGCTCTATCAAAAGAAAGGTTCAAGACCGTGAGTTGAATGCGCACATTACAAACCAGTTTCTGACAATGCTTCTGTCTATTTTTTATGTGAAGATATTTCCTTTTCCATCATAGGCCTCAAATCGCTCCAAATATCCACTTGCAGATTCTACAAAAAGACTGTTCCAAAACTGCTCTCTCAGAAGGAAGGTTCAACTCCGTGTGTTGAATGCACACATCACAAAGCAGTTTCTGAGAATGCTTCTGGCTAGTTTGTGTGTGAAGATATCCCATTGACAGCGAATTCCTCAAAGAGCTCCAAATATCCACAAGCAGATTCTAGAAAAGCAGTGTTTCAAAACTGCTCAATCAAAAGAAAGGTTCAACTCTGTGAATTGAACACACATATCACAAAGGAGTTTCGGAGAACGCTTCTTTTTAGTGTTTATGTGAAGATATTTCTTTTTCCACCATAGGCATCAAAGCGCTCCAAATGAACTCTTGCAGATTCTACAAATGTGTGTATCAACACTGCACCGTCTAAAGAAATGTTCAAGTCTCTGAGTTGAATGCACCCATCACAAAGCAGTTTCTGAGAATGCTTCTATCTAGTTTGTATGTGAAGATATTCCCGTTTCCATCTTAAGCCTCACGTCGCTCCATATGTCCACTTGAGGATACTACAAAAAACTGTTTCAAAACTGCTCTCTGAAAAGGAAGGTTCAACTCTGTGAGCTGAATGCACACATCACAAAGCAGTTAATGAGATTGCTTCTGTCTAGTTTGTATGTGAGGATATTTCCTTTTCAATCTTAGACTTCCCATCGCTCCAAATATCCACTTGCAGATATTTCAAAGAGACTGTTTAAAAACTGCTCTCTCAGAAGGAAGGTTCAACTCTGTGACTTGAATGCACACACCACAAAGCAGTTTCTGAGAATGCTTCTGTCTAGTTTGTATGTGAAGATATCCCGTTTACAACGAATTCCTCAAAGAGCTCCAAATATCCACAAGCAGATTCTACAGAAGCAGTGTATCAAAACTGCTCTATCAAAAGAAAGGTTCAACTCTCTGAATAGAACAAACACAACACAAAGGAGTTTCTGAGAATGCTTCTGTCTAGTATTTATGTGAAGATATTGCTTTTTCCACCATAGGCAAAAAAGCGCTCCAAGTGAACACTTGCACATCCTACAAAATGTGTGTTTCAACACTGCTCTTTCAAAAGAAAGGTTCAAGTCTGTGAGTTGAATGCACACATCACAAAGCAGTTTCTGAGAATTCTTCTGTCTAGTTTGTATGTGAAGATATCCCGTTTACAACGAAATCCTCAAAGAGCTCCAAATATCCACAAGCAGATCCTATAAAAGCGGTGTTTCAAAACTGCTCTATCAAAAGAAAATTTCAATTCTGTGAATTTGACACACACTTCACAAAGGAGTTTCTGAGAATGTTTCTGTCTAGTTTTCATTTGAAGATATTTCTTTTTCCACCGTAGGCAACAAAGCGCACTAAATGAACACTTGCAGATTCTACAAAAAGCGTGTTCCAACCCTGATCTCTCAAAAGAAAGTTTGAAGTCTGTGAGTTTAAGGCACACATCTCAAAGAACTTTGTGAGAATGCTTGGTTCTCCTTTTTTTGGGAAGATACCAGCTGCCAACGAATTCCTGAAAGAGTTCCAAATATCCACAAGCAGATTCTACAAAAGGAGTGTTGCAATTCTGCTCTATCAAAAGGCAGATTCAACTCAGTTACTTGAATGCACACATCTCAATGAAGTTCCTGAGCATGCCTCTGTCTAGTTTTCTGTGAAGATATTTCCTTTTCCGCCAAAGGCTTAAAAGCTCTCCAAAATGAACACTCGCAGATCCTACAAAAAGACTGTTTCAGAACTGCTCTATCAAAAGGACGGTTCCACTCTGTGAGGTGAATGCACACATCACAAAGCAGATTCTGAGAAAGCTTCTGTCAAGTTTGGCTGTGAAGATATTTCCTTTTCCATCTTAGTCCTCCCATTGTTCCAAATATCCACTTGCAGATAGTACAAAAAGATTGTTTCAAAACTGTTCTCTCAAAAGGAAGGTTCAACTCTGTGAGTAGAATGCACACATCACAAACCAGTTTACTGAGGATGCTTCTGACTAGTTTGAATGTGAAGATATCCCGTTTAAAACGAATTCCTCAAACAGCTCCAAATATCCACAAGAAGATTCTACAAAAGCAGTGTTTCAAAACTGCTTTATCTAAAGAAAGGTTCAACCCTGTGAATTGAACAACTACATCACAAAGTATTTTCTGAGAATGTTTCTCTCTAGTTTTTAGGTGAAGATATTTCTTTTTCCACCATGGGGAAGAAAGCACTCCAAATGAACACTTGCAGATTCTACAAAAAGTGTGTTTCAACACTGCTCTATCAAAAGAAAGTTTCAAGTCTGTGGGTTGAATCCCCACATCACAAAGCAGTTTCTGAGAATGCTTCTGCCTAGTTTTTAGATGAAGGTATATCCTTTTCCATCTTAGGCCTCAAATATCTCCAAACATCCACTTGCAGATACTTCAAAAAGACTGTTTCAAAACTGCTCTCAAAAGGAAGGTTCAACTCTGTGAGTTGAATGCACACATCACAACGCAGTGTCTGAGAATGCTTATGTCTAGTTTGTATGTGAAGATATTTCCTTTTCCATCTTAGGCCTCAAATCGATCCAAATATCCAATTGCAGACACCACAAAAAGACTGCTTCAAAACAGCTCTCGCAAAAGGAAGGTTCAACTCTGTGAGTTGAATGCGCACATCACAGAGCAGTTTCTGAGAATGCTTCTGTCTAGTTTGTATGTGAAGATATCCCGTTTACAACAAATTCCTCAAAGAGCCCCCAATAGCAACAAGCAGATTCTACAAAAGCAGTGTTTCAAAACTGCTCTATCAAAAGCAACTTTCAACTCTGCGAATTGAACACACACATCACAAAGCAGTCTCTGAGAATGCTTCTGTCTGGTTTTTAGGTGAAGATATTCCTTTTTCCACCAGAGGCAACAAAGCACTCCAAACGAACACATGAAGATTCTACAAAAAGTGTGTTCCAACACTGCTCTATCAAAAGAAAGGTTCAAGTCTGGGAGTCCAATGTACATATCACAAAGAACTTTCTGAGAATGCTTGGGTCTACTTTTTATGTGAAGATAGCCGTTTCCAAAGAATTCTTCAAAGAGTTCCAGATATCCACAGGCAGATTCTACAAAAGAAGTGTTTCTATACTGCTCTATCAAAAGACGTATTCAACTCAGTTTCTTTAATGCACACATCTCAATGAAGTTCCTGAGAAAGCTTCTGTCTAGTTTTTATGTGAAAATATTTCCTTTTCCATCATGGGCCTCAAAGCGCTCAAAATGGACACTTGCAGATACTAGAGAAAGACTGTTTCAAAACTGCTCTATCCAAAGAACGGTTCCACTCTGTGAGGTGAATGCACACATCACAAAGCAGTTTCTGAGAACTCTTCTGTCTAGTTTGTATGTGAACATATTTCCTTTTCCATCATAGGCCTCAAATCGCTCCAAATATCCACTTGCAGATACTATAAAAAGACTGTTTCAAAACTGCTTTCTCAAAAGAAAGTTTCAACTCTGTGAGTTGAATGCGCACATCACAAAGCAGTTTCTGAGAATGCTTCTGTGTAATTTGTATGTGAAGATATCCCGTATACGCCCAATTCCTCAAAGACCTCCAAATATCCACAAGCACATTCTACAAAAGCAGTGTTTCAAATCTGCTGTATCAAAAGAAAGGTTCAACTTTGTGAATTGGACACAAACATCTCAAAGGAGTTTCTGAGAAGGCTTCTTTCTAGTTTGTATGTGAACACATTTCTTTTTCCACCACAGGCAACAAAGCTCTCCAAATGAACACTTGCAGATTCCATAAAAAGTGTGTTTCAACACTGATCTATCAAAATAAGGTTTCAAGTCTGTAAGTTTAATGCACACATCACAAAGCAGTTACTGAGAATGCTTCTGTCTAGTTTGTAGGTGAAGGTATTCCCTTTTCCATCTTAGACCTCAAATCACTGAAAATATCCACTTGTATATACTACAAAAAGAAGGTTTCAAAACCTCTCTCTCAAAAGGAAGGTTCAACTCTGTGAGTTGAATGCACACATCACAAAGCAGTTTCTGAGCATGCTTCTGTCTAGTTTGTATGTGAAGATAGTTCCTTTTCCCTCATAGGCCTCAAAGCGTTCCAAATATCGACTTGCAGATACTACAAAAAGACTGTTTGAAAACTGTTCTCTCAGAAGGAAGGTTCAACTCCGTGTGTTGAATGCACATATCACAAAGCAGTTTCTGAGAATGCTTCTGGCTAGTTTGTATGTGAAGATATCCCTTTGACAGCGAATTCCTCAAAGAGCTCCAAATATCCACAAGCAGATTCTAGAAAATCAGTGTTTCAAAACTGCTCAATCTAAAGAAAGGTTCACCTCTGTGCATTGAACACACATATCACAAAGGAGTTTCGGAGAACGCTTCTTTCTAGTGTTTATGTGAAGATATTTCTTTTTCCACCATAGGCATCAAAGCGCTCCAAATGAACTCTTGCAGATTCTACAAATGTGTGTTTCAACACTGCTCCGTCTAAAGAAATGTTCAAGTCTCTGAGTTGAATGCACCCATCACAAAGCAGTTTCTGAGAATGCTTCTACCTAGTTTGTATGTGCAGATATTCCCGTTTCCATCTTAAGCCTCACATTGCTCCATATATCCACTTGAGGATACTACAAAAAACTGTTTCAAAACTGCTCTCTCAAAAGGAAGGTTCAACTCGGTGAGCTGAATGCACACATCACAAAGCAGTTAATGAGATTGCTTCTGTCTAGTTTGCATGTGAGGATATTTCCTTTTCAATCTTAGACTTCCCATCGCTCCAAGTATCCACTTGCAGATATTTCAAAGAGACTGTTTAAAAACTGCTCTCTCAGAAGGAAGGTCCAACTCTGTGAGTTGAATGCACACACCACAAAGCAGTTTCTGAGAATGCCTGTGTCTAGTTTGTATGTGAAGATATCCCGTTTACAACGAATTCCTCAAAGAGCTCCAAATATCCACAAGCAGATTCTACAGAAGCAGTCTATCAAAACTGCTCTATCAAAAGAAAGGTTCAACTCTCTGAATAGAACAAACACATCACAAAGGAGTTTCTGAGAATGCTTCTGTCTAGTATTTATGTGAAGATAATTCTTTTTCCACCATAGGCAAAAAAACGCTCCAAGTGAACACTTGCACATCCTACAAAATGTGTGTTTCAACACTGCTCTTTCAAGAGAAAGGTTCAAGTCTGTGAGTTGAATGCACACATCACTAAGCAGTTTCTGAGAATGCTTCTGTCTAGTTTGTATGTGATGATATCCCGTTTACAACGAAATCCTCAAAGAGCTCCAAATATCCACAAGCAGATCCTATAAAAGCGGTGTTTCAAAACTGCTCTATCAAAAGAAAATTTCAATTCTGTGAATTTGACACACACTTCACAAAGGAGTTTCTGAGAATGTTTCTGTCTAGTTTTCATTTGAAGATATTTCTTTTTCCACCGTAGGCAACAAAGCGCACTAAATGAACACTTGCAGATTCTACAAAAAGCGTGTTCCAACCCTGATCTCTCAAAAGAAAGTTTGAAGTCTGTGAGTTTAAGGCACACATCTCAAAGAACTTTGTGAGAATGCTTGGTTCTCCTTTTTTTGGGAAGATACCAGCTGCCAACGAATTCCTGAAAGAGTTCCAAATATCCACAAGCAGATTCTACAAAAGGAGTGTTGCAATTCTGCTCTATCAAAAGGCAGATTCAACTCAGTTACTTGAATGCACACATCTCAATGAAGTTCCTGAGCATGCCTCTGTCTAGTTTTCTGTGAAGATATTTCCTTTTCCGCCAAAGGCTTAAAAGCTCTCCAAAATGAACACTCGCAGATCCTACAAAAAGACTGTTTCAGAACTGCTCTATCAAAAGGACGGTTCCACTCTGTGAGGTGAATGCACACATCACAAAGCAGATTCTGAGAAAGCTTCTGTCAAGTTTGGCTGTGAAGATATTTCCTTTTCCATCTTAGTCCTCCCATTGCTCCAAATATCTACTTGTAGAGAGTACAAAAAGATTGTTTCAAAACTGTTCTCTCAAAAGGAAGGTTCAACTCTGTGAGTAGAATGCACACATCACAAACCAGTTTCTGAGGATGCTTCTGACTAGTTTGAATGTGAAGATATCCCGTTTAAAACGAATTCCTCAAACAGCTCCAAATATCCACAAGAAGATTCTACAAAAGCAGTGTTTCAAAACTGCTTTATCTAAAGAAAGGTTCAACCCTGTGAATTGAACAACTACATCACAAAGTATTTTCTGAGAATGTTTCTGTCTAGTTTTTAGGTGAAGATATTTCTTTTTCCACCATGGGGAAGAAAGCACTCCAAATGAACACTTGCAGATTCTACAAAAAGTGTGTTTCAACACTGCTCTATCAAAAGAAAGTTTCAAGTCTGTGAGTTGAATCCCCACATCACAAAGCAGTTTCTGAGAATGCTTCTGCCTAGTTTTTAGGTGAAGGTATATCCTTTTCCATCTTAGGCCTCAAATCTCTCCAAACATCCACTTGCAGATACTTCAAAAAGACTGTTTCAAAACTGCTCTCAAAAGGAAGGTTCAACTCTGTGAGTTGAATGCACACATCACAACGCAGTGTCTGAGAACGCTTCTGTCTAGTTTGCATGTGAAGATATTTCCTTTTCCATCTTAGGCCTCAAATCGATCCAAATATCCAATTGCAGACACCACAAAAAGACTGCTTCAAAACAGCTCTCGCAAAAGGAAGGTTCAACTCTGTGAGTTGAATGCACACATCACAGAGCAGTTTGTGAGAATGCTTCTGTCTACTTTGTATGTGAAGATATCCCGTTTACAACAAATTCCTCAAAGAGCCCCCAATAGCAACAAGCAGATTCTACAAAAGCAGTGTTTCAAAACTGCTCTATCCAAAGCAACTTTCAACTCTGCGAATTGAACACACACATCACAAAGCAGTCTCTGAGAATGCTTCTGTCTGGTTTTTAGGTGAAGATATTCCTTTTTCCACCAGAGGCAACAAAGCACTCCAAACGAACACATGAAGATTCTACAAAAAGTGTGTTCCAACACTGCTCTATCAAAAGAAAGGTTCAAGTCTGGGAGTCCAATGTACATATCACAAAGAACTTTCTGAGAATGCTTGGGTCTACTTTTTATGTGAAGATAGCCGTTTCCAAAGAATTCTTCAAAGAGTTCCAGATATCCACAGGCAGATTCTACAAAAGAAGTGGTTCAATACTGCTCTATCAAAAGACCTATTCAACTCAGTTACTTTAATACACACATCTCTATGAAGTTCCTGAGAAAGCTTCTGTCTAGGTTTATGTGAAAATATTTCCTTTTCCATCATGGGCCTCAAAGCGCTCAAAATGAACACTTGCAGATACTAGAGAAAGACTGTCTCAAAACTGCTCTATCCAAAGAACGGTTCCACTATGTGAGGTGAATGCACACATCACAAAGCAGTTTCTGAGAACTCTTCTGTCTAGTTTGTATGTGAACATATTTCCTTTTCCATCATAGGCCTCAAATCGCTCCAAATATCCACTTGCAGATACTACAGAAAGACTGTTTCAGAACTGCTTTCTCAAAAGAAAGTTTCAACTCTGTGAGTTGAATGCACACAGCACAAAGCAGTTTCTGAGAATGCTTCTGTGTAATTTGTATGTGAAGATATCCCGTATACGCCCAATTCCTCAAAGACCTCCAAATATCCACAAGCACATTCTACAAAAGCAGTGTTTCAAATCTGCTGTATCAGAAGAAAGGTTCAACTTTGTGAATTGGACACAAACATCTCAAAGGAGTTTCTGAGAAGGCTTCTTTCTAGTTTGTATGTGAACACATTTCTTTTTCCACCACAGGCAACGAAGCTCTCCAAATGAACACTTGCAGATTCTATAAAAAGTGTGTTTCAACACTGCTCTATCAAAATAAGGTTTCAAGTCTGTACGTTTAATGCACACATCAAAAGCAGTTTCTGAGAATGCTTCTGTCTAGTTTGTAGGTGAAGGTATTCCCTTTTCCATCTTAGACCTCAAATCACTGAAAATATCCACTTGTATATACTACAAAAAGAAGGTTTCAAAACCTCTCTCTCAAAAGGAAGGTTCAACTCTGTGAGTTGAATGCACACATCACAAAGCAGTTTCTGAGCATGCTTCTGTCTAGTTTGTATGTGAAGATAGTTCCTTTTCCCTCATAGGCCTCAAAGCGTTCCAAATATCGACTTGCAGATACTACAAAAAGACTGTTTGAAAACTGTTCTCTCAGAAGGAAGGTTCAATTCCGTGTGTTGAATGCACACATCACAAAGCAGTTTCTGAGAATGCTTCTGGCTACTTTGTATGTGAAGATATCCCTTTGACAGCGAATTCCTCAAAGAGCTCCAAATATCCACAAGCAGATTCTAGAAAAGCAGTGTTTCAAAACTGCTCAATCTAAAGAAAGGTTCACCTCTGTGCATTGAACACACATATCACAAAGGAGTTTCGGAGAACGCTTCTTCCTAGTGTTTATGTGAAGATATTTCTTTTTCCACCATAGGCATCAAAGCGCTCCAAATGAACTCTTGCAGATTCTACAAATGTGTGTTTCAACACTGCTCCGTCTAAAGAAATGTTCAAGTCTCTAAGTTGAATGCACCCATCACAAAGCAGTTTCTGAGAATGTTTCCACCTAGTTTGTATGTGCAGATATTCCCGTTTCCATCTTAAGCCTCACATCGCTCCATATATCCACTTGAGGATACTACAAAAAACTGTTTCAAAACTGCTCTCTCAAAAGGAAGGTTCAACTCTGTGAGCTGAATGCACACATCACAAAGCAGTTAATGAGATTGCTTCTGTCTGGTTTGTATGTGAGGATATTTCCTTTTCAATCTTAGACTTCCCATCGCTCCAAATATCCACTTGCAGATATTTCAAAGAGACTGTTTAAAAACTGCTCTCTCAGAAGGAAGGTTCAACTCTGTGAGTTGAATGCACACACCACAAAGCAGTTTCTGAGAATGCTTGTGTCTAGTTTGTATGTGAAGATATCCCGTTTACAACGAATTCCTCAAAGAGCTCCAAATATCTACAAGCAGATTCTACAGAAGCAGTGTATCAAAACTGCTCTATCAAAAGAAAGGTTCAACTCTCTGAATAGAACAAACACATCACAAAGGAGTTTCTGAGAATGCTTCTGTCTAGTATTTATGTGAAGATATTTCTTTTTCCACCATAGGCAAAAAAACGCTCCAAGCGAACACTTGCACATCCTACAAAATGTGTGTTTCAACACTGCTCTTTCAAGAGAAAGGTTCAAGTCTGTGAGTTGAATGCACACATCACTAAGCAGTTTCTGAGAATGCTTCTGTCTAGTTTGTATGTGAAGATATCCCGTTTACAACGAAATCCTCAAAGAGCTCCAAATATCCACAAGCAGATCCTATAAAAGCGGTGTTTCAAAACTGCTCTATCAAAAGAAAATTTCAATTCTGTGAATTTGACACACACTTCACAAAGGAGTTTCTGAGAATGTTTCTGTCTAGTTTTCATTTGAAGATATTTCTTTTTCCACCGTAGGCAACAAAGCGCACTAAATGAACACTTGCAGATTCTACAAAAAGCGTGTTCCAACCCTGATCTCTCAAAAGAAAGTTTGAAGTCTGTGAGTTTAAGGCACACATCTCAAAGAACTTTGTGAGAATGCTTGGGTCTCCTTTTTTTGGGAAGATACCAACTACCAACGAATTCCTGAAAGAGTTCCAAATATCCACAAGTAGATTCTACAAAAGGATTGTTTCAATTCTGCTCTATCAAAAGGCAGATTCAACTCAGTTACTTGAATGCACACATCTCAATGAAGTTCCTGAGCATGCCTCTGTCTAGTTTTCTGTGAAGATATTTCCTTTTCCGCCAAAGGCTTAAAAGCTCTCCAAAATGAACACTCGCAGATCCTACAAAAAGACTGTTTCAGAACTGCTCTATCAAAAGGACGGTTCCACTCTGTGAGGTGAATGCACACATCACAAAGCAGATTCTGAGAAAGCTTCTGTCAAGTTTGGCTGTGAAGATATTTCCTTTTCCATCTTAGTCCTCCCATTGCTCCAAATATCCACTTGTAGAGAGTACAAAAAGATTGTTTCAAAACTGTTCTCTCAAAAGGAAGGTTCAACTCTGTGAGTAGAATGCACACATCACAAACCAGTTTCTGAGGATGCTTCTGACTAGTTTGAATGTGAAGATATCTCCTATAAAACGAATTCCTCCAACAGCTCCAAATATCCACAAGAAGATTCTACAAAAGCAGTGTTTCAAAACTGCTTTATCTAAAGAAAGGTTCAACCCTGTGAATTGAACAACTACATCACAAAGTATTTTCTGAGAATGTTTCTGTCTAGTTTTTAGGTGAAGATATTTCTTTTTCCACCATGGGGAAGAAAGCACTCCAAATGAACACTTGCAGATTCTACAAAAAGTGTGTTTCAACACTGCTCTATCAAAAGAAAGTTTCAAGTCTGTGAGTTGAATCCCCACATCACAAAGCAGTTTCTGAGAATGCTTCTGCCTAGTTTTTAGATGAAGGTATATCCTTTTCCATCTTAGGCCTCAAATATCTCCAAACATCCACTTGCAGATACTTCAAAAAGACTGTTTCAAAACTGCTCTCAAAAGGAAGGTTCAACTCTGTGAGTTGAATGCACACATCACAACGCAGTGTCTGAGAATGCTTCTGTCTAGTTTGCATGTGAAGATATTTCCTTTTCCATCTTAGGCCTCAAATCGATCCAAATATCCAATTGCAGACACCACAAAAAGACTGCTTCAAAACAGCTCTCGCAAAAGGAAGGTTCAACTCTGTGAGTTGAATGCACACATCACAGAGCAGTTTGTGAGAATGCTTCTGTCTACTTTGTATGTGAAGATATCCCGTTTACAACAAATTCCTCATAGAGCCCCCAATATCAACAAGCAGATTCTACAAAAGCAGTGTTTCAAAACTGCTCTATCAAAAGGAACATTCAACTCAGCGAATTGAACACACACATCACAAAGCAGTCTCTGAGAATGCTTCTCTCTGGTTTTTAGGTGAAGATATTCCTTTTTCCACCATAGGCAACAGAGCACTCCAAAGGAACACATGAAGATTCTACAAAAAGTGTGTTCCAACACTGCTCTATCAAAAGAAAGGTTCAAGTCTGGGAGTCCAATGTACATATCGCAAAGAACTTTCTGAGAATGCTTGGGTCTACTTTTTATGTGAAGATAGCCGTTTCCAAAGAATTCTTCAAAGAGTTCCAGATATCCACAGGCAGATTCTACAAAAGAAGTGTTTCAATACTGCTCTATCAAAAGACGTATTCCACTCAGTTACTTTAATGCACACATCTCAGTGAAGTTCCTGAGAAAGCTTCTGTCTAGGTTTATGTGAAAATATTTCCTTTTCCATCATGGGCCTCAAAGCGCTCAAAATGAACACTTGCAGATACTAGAGAAAGACTGTCTCAAAACTGCTCTATCCAAAGAACGGTTCCACTCTGTGAGGTGAATGCACACATCACAAAGCAGTTTCTGAGAACTCTTCTGTCTAGTTTGTATGTGAACATATTTCCTTTTCCATCATAGGCCTCAAATCGCTCCAAATATCCACTTGCAGATACTACAAAAAGACTGTTTCAGAACTGCTTTCTCAAAAGAAAGTTTCAACTCTGTGAGTTGAATGCACACAGCACAAAGCAGTTTCTGAGAATGCTTCTGTGTAATTTGTATGTGAAGATATCCCGTATACGCCCAATTCCTCAAAGACCTCCAAATATCCACAAGCACATTCTACAAAAGCAGTGTTTCAAATCTGCTGTATCAAAAGAAAGGTTCAACTTTGTAAATTGGACACAAACATCTCAAAGGAGTTTCTGAAAAGGCTTCTTTCTAGTTTGTATGTGAACACATTTCTTTTTCCACCACAGGCAACAAAGCTCTCCAAATGAACACTTGCAGATTCCATAAAAAGTGTGTTTCAACACTGATCTATCAAAATAAGGTTTCAAGTCTGTAAGTTTAATGCACACATCACAAAGCAGTTTCTGAGAATGCTTCTGTCTAGTTTGTAGGTGAAGGTATTTCCTTTTCCATCTTAGACCTCAAATCACTAAAAATATCCACTTGTATATACTACAAAAAGACTGTTTCAAAACCTCTCTCTCAAAAGGAAGGTTCAACTCTGTGAGTTGAATGCACACATCACAAAGCAGTTTCTGAGCATGCTTCTGTCTAGTTTGTATGTGAAGATAGTTCCTTTTCCCTCATAGGCCTCAAAGCGTTCCACATATCGACTTGCAGATACTACAAAAAGACTGTGTGAAAAATGTTCTCTCAGAAGGAAGGTTCAACTCCGTGTGTTGAATGCACACATCACAAAGCAGTTTCTGAGAATGCTTCTGGCTAGTTTGTATGTGAAGATATCCCATTGACAGCGAATTCCTCAAAGAGCTCCAAATATCCACAAGCAGATTCTAGAAAAGCAGTGTTTCAAAACTGCTCAATCAAAAGAAAGGTTCATCTCTGTGCATTGAACACACATATCACAAAGGAGTTTCGGAGAACACTTCTTCCTAGTGTTTATGTGAAGATATTTCTTTTTCCACCATAGGCATCAAAGCGCTCCAAATGAACTCTTGCAGATTCTACAAATGTGTGTTTCAACACTGCTCCGTCTAAAGAAATGTTCAAGTCTCTGAGTTGAATGCACCCTTCACAAAGCAGTTTCTGAGAATGCTTCTATCTAGTTTGTATGTGCAGATATTCCCGTTTCCATCTTAAGCCTCACATCGCTCCATATATCCACTTGAGGATACTACAAAAAACTGTTTCAAAACTGCTCTCTCAAAAGGAAGGTTCAACTCTGTGAGCTGAATGCACACATCACAAAGCAGTTAATGAGATTGCTTCTGTCTAGTTTTTATGTGAAAATATTTCCTTTTCCATCATGGGCCTCAAAGCGCTCAAAATGAACACTTGTAGATACTAGAGAAAGACTGTTTCAAAACTGCTCTATCCAAAGAACGGTTCCACTCTGTGAGGTGAATGCACACATCACAAAGCAGTTTCTGAGAACGCTTCTGTCTAGTTTGTATGTGAAGATATCCCGTTTACAACGAATTCCTCAAAGAGCTCCAAATATCCACAAGCAGATTCTACAAAAGCAGTGTATCAAAACTGCTCTATCAAAAGAAAGGTTCAACTCTCTGAATTGAGCAAACACATCACAAAGGAGTTTCTGAGAATGCT
>NC_000005.10:47082080-47106894 GCF_000001405.40 Homo sapiens | reverse complement strand
TCAACTCACAGATTTGACCTTCCTTTGATAGAGCAGTTTGAAACACTCTTTTGTAGTATATGCAAGTGGATATTGGAGTGCTTGAAGCTTTCATTGGAAAGGGGAATATCTTCCCATAAAAAGTAGACAGAAGGATTCTGAGAAACTACTTTTTGATGTGTTCATTCAACTCACAGAGTTGAACACTGCTTTTGATAGAGAAGTTTTGAAACACTCTTCTTGTTGAACCTACACATGGATACTGGGATCTCTGTAAGGTCTCTGGTAGAAAAAGCAATTTCTTTATATAAAAACCAGAGGGAAGCATTCTCAGAATCTAGTTTCTGATGTGTGCATTCAACTCACAGATTTCAACCTTTCTTTTGATGGAACAGTTTTGAGACACTTTTTGTGGTATCTGCAAGTGGATATTTTGACTGCTTTGAGGAATTCGTTGGAAACGGGAATATCTTCACATAAATACCACACAGAGGCATTCTCAAAAACTTCCTTGTGATACGTGCATTCAACTGACAGAGTTGAATCTTCCTTTGGATCTAGCAGTTTTGAAACACTCTTTTGGTAGTATCTGCTTGTGTATATTTGGAGTGCTTTGAAGCCTTCTTTGGAAACGGAAATATATTCACAAAGAAAGTAGACGGAAGCATTCTCAGAAACTTCCTTTTGATGTGAGCATTCAACTCACAGAGTTGAACCTTCCTTTTGATATAGCAGTTTTAAAAAACGTTTTTTGTAGAATCTGCAAGTGGATTGTTGGACTACTTTGAAGTCTTCATTGGAAACGGCTATATTTTCACCTAAAAACAAGACAGATGCATTCTCAGAAACTTTTTTGTGATGTGCCCATTCAACTCACAGAGTTGAACCGTCCTATTGATAGAGCAGTACTGAAAGACTCCTTTGGTACAATCTCCATGTGGATATTTTGACCGCTTGGTGTCCTTCTTTGGAAACGGGAATATCGTCACAAAAAACTGGACAGAAGCATTCTCAGAAACTTCCGCGTGATATGTGCATTCAACTCACAGAGTTGGACCTTCCTTTTGATAGAGCAGTTTTGAAACACTCTTTTTGTGGTAGCTGCAAGTGCATATTTGGTGTGCTTTGAAGCTTCCGTTGGAAACGGGAATATATTCACATAAAAACTAGACAGAAGCATTCTCAGAAACTTCCCTGTGATGTGTGCATTAAACTCACAGAGTTGAACGTTCCTTTTGATAGAACAGTTTTGAGACTAACTTTTTGTAGAATCTGCAAGTGGATAATTGCAGTAATTTGAAGTCTTCATTGCAAACGTCTATATCTTTACATGAAAACTAGACAGATGCATTTTCAGAACTTCTTTGTGATGTGTGCATTCAACTCACAGAGTTGAACCTTCCTTTTGATAAAGCAGTTTTGAAACACTCTTTTTGTAGAATCTGCAAGTGTATAATTCTAGTGTTTATAAACCTTCACTGGAAACGGGAATATCTCCACATAAAAACTAGACAGAAGCATTCTCAGAAACTTCTTTATGATGTGTGCATTCAACTCACAGAGTTGAACATTCCTTTTGATAGAGCAGTTTTTAAACACTCTTTTTGTAGAATATGCAAGTGGATATTTGGAGTGCTTTGAAGACTTCGTTGAAAACGGGAATATCTTCACATGAAAAGTAGACGGAGTTATTCTCAGAAACAACTTTGTGATGTGTGCATTTAACTCTCAGAATTGAACACTCCTTTTGATAAAGCAGTTTTGAAACACTCTTTTTGTTGCATCTAAAAGTGGATATTTGCATCCCTGTAAGGCCTCTGGAAGAAAAGGCAATTTCTTTATATAAAAACTAGAAAGAAGGATTCTCAGAATCTAGTTTCTGATGTGTGCATTCAACTCACAGATTTCAAGCTTTCTTTTGATAGAGCAGTTTTGAAACATTTTTTGTGGGATCTGCAAGTGGATATTTCGACTGTTTTGAGGTATTCGTTGAAAACGGGAATATCTTCACATAAATACCATACAGAAGCATTCTCAGAAAAATCTTTTGGATGTTTGCATTCAACTAACAGAGTTGACCATGTCCTTTTTTTTATTATTATACTTTAAGTTTTAGGGTACATGTGCACATTGTGCAGGTTAGTTACATATGTATACATGTGCCATGTTGGTGCGCTGCACCCACTAAGTCGTCATCTAGCATTAGGTATATCTCCCAGTGCTATCCCTCCCACCTCCCCCCACCCCACAACAGTCCCCAGAGTGTGATAGTCCCCGTCCTGTGTCCATGTGATCTCATTTTTCAGTTCCCACCTATGAGTGAGAATATGCGGTGTTTGGTTTTTTGTTCTTGTGATAGTTTACTAAGAATGATGATTTCCAATTTCATCCATCTCCCTACAAAGGACATGAACTCATCATTTTTTTATGGCTGCATTGTATTCCATGGTGTATATGTGCCACATTTTCTTAATCCAGTCTATCGTTGTTGGACATTTGGGTTGGTTCCAAGTCTTTGCTATTGTGAATTATACCGCAATAATCATACGTGTGCATATGTCTTTATAGCAGCATGATTTATAGTCCTTTGGGTATATAATAAGTAATGGGATGGCTGGGTCAAATGGTATTTCTAGTTCTAGATCCCTGAGGAATTGCCACACTGACTTCCACAATGGTTGAACTAGTTTACAGTTCCACCAACAGTGTAAAAGTGTTCCTATTTCTCCACATCCTTTCCAGCACCTGTTGTTTCCTGACTTTTTAATGATTGCCATTCTAACTGGTGTGAGATGGTATCTCATGGTGGTTTTGATTTGCATTTCTCTTATGGCCAGTGATGATGAGCATTTTTTCATGTGTTTTATGGCTGCATAAATGTCTTCTTTTGAGAAGTGTCTGTTCATGTCCTTCACCCACTTTTTGATGGGGTTGTTTGTTTTTTTCTTGTAAATTTGTTTGAGTTCATTGTAGATTCTGGATATTAGCACTCTGTCAGATGAGTAGGTTGCGAAAATTTTCTCCCATTTTGTAGGTTGCCTGTTCACTCTGATGGTAGTTTCTTTTGCTGTGCAGAAGCTCTTTAGTTCAATTATATCCCATTTGTAAATTTTGTCTTTTGTTGCTATTGCTTTTGGTGTTTTAGATATGAAGTCCTTGCCCATGCCTATCCCCACAGCCAACATCATACTGAATGGGCAAAAACTGGAAGCATTCCCTTTGAAAACTGGCAAAAGACAGGGATGTCCTCTCTCACCACTCCTATTCAACATAGTGTTGGAAGTTCTGTCCAGGGCAATTAGGCAGGAGAAGGAAATAAAGGGTATTCAATTAGGAAAAGAGGAAGTCAAATTGTCCCTGTTTGCAGAAGACATGATTGTATATCTAGAAAACCCCTTGCCTCAGCCCAAAATCTCCTTCAGCTGATAAGCAACTTCAGCAAAGTCTCAGGATACAAAATCAATGTACAAAAATCACAAGCATTCTTATACACCAACAACAGACAAACAGAGAGCCAAATCATAAGTGAACTCCCATTCACAATTGCTTCAAAGAGAATAAAATACTTAGGAACCCAACTTACAAGGGATGTGAAGGACCCCTTAAAGGAGAACTACAAACCACTGCTCAAGGAAATAAAAGAGGATACAAACAAATGGAAGATCATTCCATGCTCATGGGTAGGTAGAATCAGTATCGTGAAAATGGCCATATTGCCCAAGGTAATTTACAGATTCAATGCCATCTCCATCATGCTACCAATGCCTTTCTTCACAGAATTGGAAAATACTACTTTAAATTTCATATGGAAGCAAAAAAGAGCCCGCATCACCAAGTCAACCTTAAGCCAAAAGAACAAAGCTGGAGGCATCACACTACCTGACTTCAAACTATACTACAAGGCTACAGTAACCAAAACAGCATGGTACTGGAACCAAAACAGAGATATAGATCAATGGAACAGAACAGAGCCCTCAGAAATAACGCTGCATATCTACAACTACCTGATCTTTGACAAACCTGAGAAAAACAAGCAATGGGGAAAGGATTCCCTATTTAATAAATGGTGCTGGAAAACTGGCTAGCCATATATAGAAAGCTGAAACTGGATCCCTTCTTTACACCTTACACAAAAATCAATTCAAGATGGATTAAAGACTTAAACGTTAGACCTAAAACCATAAAAACCCTAGAAGAAAACCTAGGCATTACCATTCAGAACATGTCCTTCAATAGAGCAGTTTGAAGTAGTCTTTTGGTAGAATCTGCAATTAGATATTATGAGCGCTTTGAGGCCTATGGTATAAAAGGGTATATCTTTTTATAAAATCTAGATAGAACAATTCTCAGAAAATATTTTGTGATGTGTGCCTAAAACTCACAGAATTTAACCTTTCTTTTGATAGAGCAGTTTTGAAACACTGTTTTCACAGGATCTGCAGGTGGATAATTGGAGTCTTTTGAAGCCTTCGTTGGAAACGGGAATATCTTCACCTAAAAACCGGACAGAAGCATTCTCAAAAACTGCTTTGTGAGGTGTGCATTCAACTCACAGAGTTTAAGCTATCTTTTGACAGAGCAGTTTTGAAACTCTCTTATTGTACAATCTGCAAGTGGACATTTGGAGCACTTTGAGGGCTATGGTGGAAAAGGAAATATCTTCACATAAAAACTAGACGGAAGCATTCTCAGAAACTTCTTGTGATGTTTGCGTTCAACTCAGAGAGTTAAACATTTCTATTGCTGGAGCAGTTATGAAACACTCTTTTTGTAGAATCTGCAAGTGGATATTTTGACCACTTTGTGTCCTTCATTGTAAACGGGAATATTTTTACATAAAAACTGGACAGAAGCATTCTCAGAAACTTCGTTGTGATGTGTGCATTCAACTGTCAGAGTTGAACCTTCCTTTTGATTGAGCAGTTTTAAAACAGCTTTTGGTGGTATCTGCAACTGCATATTTGCTGTGTTTTGAAGCCTTCATTGGAAACGAAAATGTATTCACTTAAAAACTAGACAGAAGCATTCTCAGAAACTTCCTTGTGATGTGTGCCTTCAACTCGCAGAGTTGAACACTTCTTTTGATAGAGCAGTTTTGGAACACTCTTTCTGTAGAATCTACACGTGGATATTTTGAGCCCTTTAAGGCCCCTTGTAGAAAAGGCAATTTCTTTACATAAAAACTAGAAAGAAGCATTCTCAGAATCTAGTTTCTGATGTGTGCATTTAACTCACAGATTTTAACCTGTCTTTTGATTGAACAGTTTTGAAACACTCTTTTTGTAGAAACTGTAAGTGGATATTTTGACTGCTTTGAGTAATTCGTTGGAAACGGGAACATCTTCATATAAATACCAGACAGAAGCATTCTCAGAAACTTCTTCCTGATGTTTGCATTCAACTCACAGAGTTGAAACTTTCTGTTCAAAGAGCCATTCTGAAACACTCTCTTGGTAGAATCTGCAAGTGTATATTTGGTGTGCTTTGAAGCCTTCGTTGGAAACGGGAATACCTTTGAGTAATTCGTTGGAAACGGGAACATCTTCATATAAATACCAGACAGAAGCATTCTCAGAAACTTATTTGCGATGTGTGCATTCAACTCACAGATTTGAACCTTCCTTTTGACAGAGCAGCTTTGAAACACTCTTTTTGTAGTATCTGCAAGTGTATATTTGGTGTGCTTTGAAGCCTTCATTTGAAACGGGAATACCTTCACATAAAAACTAGACAGAAGTATTCTCAGAAACTACTTTGTGTTGTGTGCATTCAACTCAGAGAGTTGAACACTCCTTTTGATTGAGCAGATTTGAAACACTCTTTTTGTAGAATCTACACATGGTTATTTTGAGCGCTTTAACGCCTCTGGTAGAAAAGACAATTTCTTTATATGAAAACTAGAAAGAAGCATTCCCCTTATCTAGTTTCTGATGCGTGCATTTAACTCAGAGATTTTAAACTTTGTTTTGATAGATCTGTATTGAAACACTTTTTTTGTAGAATCTGCAAGTGGATATTTTGAATGCTTTGTGGAATTCGTTGGAAACGGGAATGTCATCACATAAATACCAGACAGAAGCATTCTCAGAAACTTCTTTTTGATGTTTGCATTCAACTCACAGAGTTGAACCTTTCTGTGCATAGAGCAGTTTTGAAACACATTTTGGTAGAATCTGCAATTGGATATTTGAAGAGATTTGAGGGCTATGGTAGAAAAGGAAATATCTTCATAGAAAAACTAGACAGAAGCATTCTCAGAAACCGCTTTGTGATGTGGGCTTACAACTCACAGAATTTAGCCTTTCTTTTGATAGAGCAGTTTTGAAACACTCTTTTTGTTGGATCTGCAAGTGGATAATTGGAGTGCTTTGAAGCCTTCGTTGGAAACGGGAATATCTTCACCTAAAAAGTAGACAGAAGGATTCTCAGAAACTACTTTGTGATGTGTGCATTCAACTCACAGAGGTGAACACTCCTTTTGATAGAGCAGTTTTGAAACACTCTTTTTGTAGAATCTACACCTGGATGTTAGGATCCATTTAAGGCCTCTGGTAGAAAAGGAAATTTCTTTATATAAAAACTAGAAAGAAGTATTCTCAGAATCTAGTTTCTCATGTGTACATTTAACTCACAGGTACAGGTTTTAACCTTTCTTTTGATAGAGCAGTTTTGAAACACTCGTTTTGTAGAATCTGCAAGTGGCTATTACTGGTGGTTACAAGCCATCCTTGGAAACGGGAATATCTCCAGATTAAAACTAGACAGAAGCATTCTCAGAAACTTCTTTGTGACGTGTGCATACAACTGACAGAGTTGAACCTTCCTTTTGATAGAGCAGTTTTGAAACACTCTTTTTGTAGTATATGCAAGTGAATATTCGGAGTGCATTGAAGCCTTCTTTGGACACGGGAATATCTTCACATAAAAAGTAGACAGAAGGATTCTCAGAAACTACTTTTTGATGTGTGCCTTCAACTCACAGAGGTGAACACTTCTTTAGATAGAGCAATTTTGAAACACTCTTTTTGTAGAATCTGTAAGTGGATAATTGCAGTACTTTGAAGTCTTCATTGGAAAAGTCTATATCTTCACATGAAAACTAGACAGATGCATTCTCAGAAACTTCTTTGTGATGTGTGCATTCAACTCACGGAGTGGAACCTTCCTTTTGATGGAGAAGTTTTGAAACACTCTTTTGGTAGAATCTGCAAGTGGATACTTGGAGCGCTTTGAGGCCTTTGGTAGAAAAGGAAATAACTTCATATAAAAATTAGTCTGAAGCATCCTCAGAAACTACTCTGTGATCTGTGCTTAGAACTCACATAATTTAACCTTTCTTTTGATAGAGCAGTTTTGAAACCCTCTTTTTGTAGGATCTGCAAGTGGATAATTCGTATGCTTTGAAGCCTTCTTTGGAAAAGGGAACATCTTCACCTAAAAACCAGACAGAAGCATTCCCAAAAACTAGTTTGTGATGTGTGCATTCAGTTCACAGAGTTTAACCTATCTTTTGGCAGAGTAGTTTAGAAACACTCTTATTGCAGAATCTGCAAGTGGACATTTGGAGCACTTTGAGGGCTGTGGTGGAAAAGGAAATATCTTCACATTAAAACTAGACAGAAGCATTCTCAGACACTTCTTTGTGATGTTTGCATTCAACTCAGAGAGTTAAATATTTATTTTGCTAGAGCAGTTTTGAAACACTCTTTTTGTAGAATCTGCAAGTTGATATTTTGACCTCTTTGTGTCCTTTGTTGGAGAAGGGAATATCTTCACATAAAAACCTGACAGAAGCATTCTCAGAAACTTCCTTGTAACGTGTGCATTCACCTCACAGAGTTAAGCCTTTCTTTTGAGAGAGCAGTTTTGAAACACTCTTTTTGTTGTATCTGCAAGTGGATACTTGGAGTGATTTGAAGCCTTCATTGAAACGGGAATATATTCACATAAAAACTAGACAGAAGCATTCTCAAAAAATTCCTTGTGATGTGTGCATTCAACTCACAGCGTTGAACCCTCCTTTTGAGAGAGCAGTTTTGAAACACTCTTCTTGTAGTATCTGCAAGTGTATATTTGGAGTGCTTTGAAGCGTTTGTTGGAACAGGAATATATTCAGATAAAAACTAGACAGAAGAATTCTCATAAACTTCCTTGTGATGTGTGCATTGAACTGACAGGTTTGAACCTTCCTTTTGATAGAGAAGTTTTGAAACACTCTTTTTGAAGGATGTGCAGGTGGATAATTGGAGTTCTTTGAAGCCTTCGTTGGAAACGGGAATATCTTCACCTAAATACTAGACAGAAACATTCTCCAAAACTACTTTGTGATGCGTGCATTCAACTCACAGAGATTAACCTATCTTTTTACAGAGGAGTTTTGAAACACACTTATTGTAGAATCTGCAAGTGGACATTTGGAGCACTTTGAGGGCTGTAGTGGATATGGAAATATCTTCACATAAAAACTAGACAGAAGCATTCTCAGAAACTGCTTGTGATGTGTGTACTCAACTCACAGAATTGAACCTCTCTTTAGATACAGCAGTTTTGAAACACTCTTTTTGTAGAATCTGCAAGTGGATATTTTGACCCTTTGTGTCCTTCATTGGAAACGGGAATATCTTCATATAAAAACTGGACAGAAGCATTCTCAGAAACTTCTTTGTGATGTATGCATTCAACTCACAGGGTTAAACCTTCCTTTTGATAGAGCAGTTTTCAAACACTCTTTTTATAATATCTGCAAGTGGATATTTGGAGGGCTTTGAAGCCTTCGTTGGAAACGGGAATATAGTCACATAAAAACTAGACAGAAGCATTCTCAGAAACTTCCTTGTGATGTGTGCATTCAACTCACAGAGTTGAACCTTCCTTTAGATAGAGCAGTTTTGAAACACTCTTTTTGTAGTATCTGCAAGTGGATATTTGGAGTCCTTTGAAGCCTTCTTTGGAAACGGGAATACCTTCACATAAAAAGTAGACAGAAGCTTTGTCAGAAACTTTTTTTGTGATGTGTGCATTCAACTCACAGAGTTGAACCTTCCTTTTGATAGAGCAGCTTTGAAACACTCTTTTTGTAGAATATGCAAGTGGATATTTTGACTGATTCGAGGAATTCGTTGGAAACGGGAACATCTTCACATAAAAAATGGACAGAAGTATTCTCAGAAACTACTTTGTGATGTGTGCATTCAACTCACAGAGTTGAACACTCCTTTTGATAGAGCAGTTTTGAAACACTCTCTTTGTAGTATCTACATGTGGATATTTGCATCCCTTTAAGGCCTCTGGTAGAAAAGGCAATTTATATTAAAACTAGAAAGAAGCATTCTCAGAAACTAGCTTCTGATGTGTGCACTCAACTCACAGATTTTAACATTTTTTTTGATAGAGCAGTTTTGAAACACTCTTTTTGTAGAATCTGCAAGTGGATATTTTGACCGCTTTTTGTCCTTCGTTGGAAACGGGAATATCTTCACATTAAAACTGGACAGAATCATTCTCAGAATCTTCCTTGTGATGTGTGCATTCAATTCCCAGAGTTGAACCTTCCTTTTGATAGAGCAGTTTTGAAGCACTCTTTTTGCAGTATCTGCAAATGTATATTTTGAGTTCTTTGAAGCGTTTGTTGGAAACGGGAATATATTCACATAAAAACTAGGCAGAAGCATTCTCAGAAAGTTCCTTGTCATGCACGCATTCAACTCACAGAGTTGAACCTTTCTTTTGAAGAGCAGTTTTGAAACACTCTTTTTGTAGTATCTGCAAGTGTATATTTGGAGTGCTTTGAATCCTTCATTGGAAATTGGAATATATTCACATAAAAGTTAGACAGAAGCATTCTCAGAAAATTTTTTGTGATATGTGCATTCAACTCACAGTGTTTAACCTTCCTTTTGATAGAGCATTTTTGAAACACTCTTTTTGTTGATTCTTCAAGGGGATAATTGGAGTACTTTGAAGTCTTCATTGGAAACGGCTACATTTTCATATCAAAACAAGGCAGATGCATTCTCAGAAAGTTTTCTGTGATGTGCCCATTGAACTCACAGAGATGAGCCTTCCTTTTGATAGAACGGTATTGAAAGACTCTTTTTGTAGAATCTGCAAGTGGATTTTTTGAGCGCTTTTTGTCCTTCTTGGAAACGGGAATATCTTCAGATAAAAACAGGACAGAGGCATTGTCAAAATCTTCCTTGTGATGTGGGCAATCAACTCAGAGAGTTGAACCTTCCTTTTGATAGAGCGGTTTTGAAACACTCTTTCTGTAGTATCTGCAAGTGGATATTTGGAGTGGTTTGAAGCCTTCGTTGGAAATGGGAATATACTCAGATTAAAAACTAGACAAAAGCATTCTGAGAAACTTCTTTGTGATGTGTGCATTCAACTCACAGTGTTGAAACTTCCTTTTGATAGAACAGTTTTGAAACACTCTTTGTAGAATCTACACATGGATATTTGCATCCGTTTAAGGCCTCTGGTAGAAAAGGGCAATTTCTTTATATAAAAACTAGAAAGAAGCATTCTCAGAAACTAGCTTCTGATGTGTGCCTTCAATTCACAGATTTTAACATGTCTTTTGATATAGCAGTTTTGAAACACTCTTTTTGTAGAATCTGCAAGTGGATATTTTGACCGCTTTCTGTAGTTCGTTGTAAACGAAAACATCTTCACATAAAAACTGGACAGAAGCATTCTCAGAAAGTTCCTTGTGATGTGTGCATTCAACTCTCAGAGTTGAACCTTCCTTTTGATAGAGCAGTTTCGAAACGCTCTTTTTGCAGTATCTGCCAGTGTATATTTTGAGTTCTTTGAAGTCTCTGTTGTAAATGGGAATATATTCACAGAAAAACTAGACAGAAGCATTCACAGAAACTTACTTGTCATGCACACATTCAACTCACAGAGTTGAACCTTTCTTTTGATAGAGAAGTTTTTAAACACTCGTTTTGTAGTATCTGCAATTGAATATTTGGAGTACCTTGAAGCCTTCGTTGGAAACGGGAATGTAGTCACATAAAAACTAGACAGAAGCATTCTCATAAACTTCCTTATGATGTGTGCATTGAACTCACAGATTTTGAACCTTCCTTTTGATAGAGGAGTTTTGAAACAGTCTTTTTGAAGGATCTGCAAGTGGATGATTGGACTGCTTTGAAGTCTTCATTGGAAAGAGGAATATCTTCACCTAAAAACTACACAGAAGCATTCTCAAAAACTACTTTGTGATGTGTGCATTCAACTCACAGAGTTTAACATATCTTTTGATAGAGCAGTTTTGAAACACTCTTATTGTAGAATCTTCAAGTGGACATTTAGAGCACTTTGAGGACTATGGTGGAAAAGGAAATATCTTCATATAAAAACTAGGCAGAAGCATTGTCAGAAACTTCCTTATGATGTGTGCATTCAACCCACAGAGTTGAAACTTGCTTTTGATAGAGCAGTTTTGAAACACTCTTTTTGTAGAATCTGCAAGTGGATATTTCTATTGGTTAGAGGCCTTCGTTGGAAACGGGAATATCTCCACATAAAAACTAGATGGAAGCATTCTCAGAAATTTCTTTGTGATGTGTGCATTCCACTCACAGAGTTTAACCTTCCTTTTGTTAGAGCAGTTTTGAAACACTCTTTTTTTTAGTATATGAAAATGGATTTATGGAGTGCTTTGAAGCTCTCGTTGGAAATGGGAATATCTTCACATAAAAAGTAGACAGAAAGATTCTCCGAAACTACATTGTGATGTGTGTTTTCAGCTCACAGAGTTTAACCCATCTTTTGACGGAGCAGTTTTGAAACACACTTATTGTAGAATCTACAAGTGGACATTTGGAGCACTTGAGTGCTATGGTGGAAAAGGAAATATCTTCACATAAAAACTAGACAGAAGCATTCTCAGAAACTTCTTGTGATGTTTGCATGCAACTCAAAGAGTTAAACCTTTCTTTTGCTAGAGCAGTTTTGAAACACTCTTTTTGTAGAATCTGCAAGTGGATATTTTGAGTGCTTTGTGTCCTTCATTAGAAACGGGAATATCTTCACATAAAAACTGGACAGAAGCATTCTCAGAAACTTCTTTGTTATGTGTGCATTCAACTCACAGAGTTGAACCTTCCTTTTAATAGAGCTGTTTTGAAACACTCTTTTTATAGTATCTGCAAGTGTATATTCGGAGTGCTTTGAAGCCTTCGTCGGAAATAGGAATATATTCCCATAAAAACTAGACAGAAGCATTCTCAGAAACTTCCTTGTGATGTGTGCATTTAACTCACACAGTTGAACCTTCCTTTTGATAGAGCAGTTTTGAAACACTCTTTTTGTAGAATCTGCAAGTGTATAATTGGAGCACTTTGAAGTCTTCATTGGAAACGCTTACATATTCACATGAAAACAAGACAGATGCATTCTCCGAAACTTCTTTGTGATGTGTGCATTCAACTCACAGAGTTGAACCTTCCTTTTGATAGAGCAGCTTTGAAACACTCTTCTTGTAGAATATGCTAGTGTATATATGGAGTGCTTTGAAGCCTTCATTGGAAACGGGAATATCTTTACATAAATAGTAGACAGAAGCATTCTCAGAAACTACTTTGTGATGAGTGCATTCAGCTCACAGTGTTGAACACTCCTTTTGATAGAGCAGCTTTAAAACACTCTTTTTGTAGAATCTGAAAGTGGACTTTGGAACACTTTGATGGCTATGGTGGAAAAGGAAATATCTTAAAATATTTGCATCCCTTTAAGACCTCTTTTAGAAAAGGCAGTATCTTTATATAAAATCTAGAAAGAAGCATTGTCAGAAAGTAGCTTCTGATGTGTCCATTTAACTCATAGATTTTAACATTTCTTTTGATAGAGCAGTTTTGAAACTCTCTTTTTTGTAGAATCTGCAAGTGGCTATTTTGACTGCTTTGAGTAATTCGTTGGAAACGGGAATATCTTCACTTAAATACCAGACAGAAACATTTTCAGAAACTTCTTTGTGATGTTTGCATTCAATTCACAGTGTTGCATCTTTCTTTTCGTAGAGCAGTTTTAAAACACTCTTTTGGCAGTATCAGCAATTGGATATTTGGAGCGTTTTGAGGCCTACAGTGGAAAAGGAATTATTTTCATATAAAAACTAGACAGAAGCATTCTCAGAAACTACTTTTTGATGTGTGCTTACAACTCACAGAATTTAACCTATCTTTTGATAGAGCAGTTTTAAACACTCTTTTTATAGAATCTGCAATTTGATAATTGGAGTGCTTTGAAGTCTTTGTTGGACACGAGAATATCTTCACCTAAAATTAGACTGAAGCATTCTCAAAAACTCCTTTGTGATGTGTGCATTCAACTCACAGAGTTGAACCTTCCTTTTGACAGAGCTGTTTTGAAGCACTCTCATCGTAGAATCTGAAAGTGGACATTGGAACACTCTGATGGCTATGGTGGAAAAGGAAATATCTTAACATAAAAACTAGGCAGAAGCATTCTAAGAAACATCTTTGGGATGTTTTCATTCAACTCAGAGAGTTGAACTTTTTTTTGTTAGAGCAGTTTTGAAACATTCTTTTTGTAGAATCTGTAAGTGGATATTTTGACCGCTTTGTGTCCTTTATTGTAAACGGGAATATCTTCACATAAAAACTGGACAGAAGCATTCTCAGAAACTTCCTTGTTATGTGTGCATTCAACTCACAGAGTTGAACCTTCCTGTTGATAGAGCAGTTTTGAAACACTCTTTTTGCCGTACCTGCAACTGTGTATTTTGAGTTCTTTGAAGCCTTTGTTGGAAACGGGAATATATTCACATAAAAACTAGACAGAAGGATTCTCAGAAGCTTCCTTGTCATGCACACATTAAACCCACAGAGTTGAACCTTTCTTTTGAAAGAGCAGTTTTGAAACACCCTTTTTCTAGTATCTGCAAGTGTATATTTGGAGTGCTTTGAATCCTTCGTTGGAAATGGGAATATATTCACCTAAAAGTTAGACAGAAGCATTCTCGGAAACTTTTTTGTGTTGTGTGCATTCAACTTACAGAGTTTAACCTTCCTTTTGATAGGGCAGTTTTGAAACATTCTTTTTGTTGAATCTGCAAGTGGATAATTGGAGTACTTTGAAGTCTTCATTGGTAATGGCTACCTCTTCACATAAAAACAAGACAAATGCATTCTCAGAAACTTTTTTATGATGTGCCCACTCATCTCACAGGTTGAACTTTCCTTTTGATAGAGCGGTATTGAAAGACTCTTTTGGTAGGACCTGCAATTGGATTTTTTGAGCGCTTTGTGTCCTTCGTTGGAAACGGGAATATCTTCACAGAAAAACAGGACAGAAGCATTCTCAGAAACTTCCTTGTGATAGGTGCACTCAACTCACGAAGTTGAAACTTCCTTTTGATAGAGCAGTTTTGAAACACTCTTTTTGTAGTATCTGCAGGTGGATATTTAGAGTGGTTTGAAGCCTCCATTGGATACGGGAATATATTCACATTAAAAACTAGACAGAAGCATTCTCAGAAACTTCCTTGTGATGTGTGCATTCAATTCAGAGAGTTGAAATCTCCTTTTGATAGAGCAGTTTTGAAACACTCTTTTTGTAGAATCTGCAAGTGGAGATTACTAGTGGTTAGAGGCCTTCATTGGAAACGGGAATATCTCCACATAAAAACTAGACAGAAGCATTCTCAGAAATTTCTTTGTGATGTGTCCTTTCCACTCACAGAGTGGAACCTTCCTTTTGTTAGAGCAGTTTTGAAACACTCTTTTTGTGTATATGCAAGTGGATATATGGAGTGCTTTGAAGCCTTCGTTAGAAAAGGGAATATATTCACTTAAAAACTAGATGGAAGCATTCTCAGAAACTCCCTTGTAATGTGTGCATTCAACTCACAGAGTTGAACCTTACTTTTGATAGAGCAGTTTTGAAACACTCTTTTTGTAGAATCTGCAAGTGTATATTTGGAGTGCTTTGAAGCCTTCGTTGGAAACTGGAATATACTCACATAAAAACTAGACAGAAGCATTCTCAGAAACTTCTTTCTGATGTGCGCATTCAACTCACAGATTTGAACCTTCCTTTTGATAGAGCAGTTTGGAAACACACTTTTTGTATAATCTGCAAGTGGATATTTCCAGTGGAGAGAAGCCTTCGTTGGAAAAGGGAATATCTCCACGTAAAAAATAGACGGAAGCATTCTCAGAAACTTCCTTGTAATGTGTGCATTCAACTCACAGAGTTGAACCTTCCTTTTGATGGAGCAGATTTGAAACACTCTTTTTGTAGAATATGCAAGTGGATATTTGGAGTGCTTTGAAGCCTTCGTTGGAAACGGAAATATTTTCACATAAAAAGTAGACAGAAGGATTCTCAGAAACTACTTTGTGATGAGTTCTCCTTTTGATAGAGCAGTTTTGAAACACTCTTTTGTATAATCTACACGTGGATATTGGGATCCTTTTAACGCCTCTGGTAGAAAAGGAAATTTCTTTATATAAAAACTTGAAAGAAGCATTCTCATAATCTAGTTTCTGATGTGTGCATTCAACTCACAGATTTTAACCTTTCTTTTCATAGGGCAGTTTTGAAACACTATTTTTGTAGAATCTGCAAGTGGATATTTTGACTGCTTTGAGGAATTCCTTGGAAATGGGAATATCGTCACATAAATACCAGACAGAAGCATTCTCAGAAACTTCTTTGTGATGTTTGCATTCAACTCACAGAGTTGGACCTTTCTTTTCATAGAGCTGTTTTGAAACACTCTTTTAGTTGAATCTGCAATTGGATATTTGGAGCGCTTTGTGGCCGATTGTAAAAAAAGTAATATCTTCAAATAACAACTAGACAGAAGCATTCTCAGAAACCAGGTTGTGATGTGTGCTTACAACTCACAGAATTTAACCTTTCTTTTGATAAAGCAGTTTAGAAACCCTCTTTTTGTAGGATCTGCAAGTGGATAATTGCAGTGCTTTGAAGCCTTCGTTGGAAACGGGAATATCTTCACATAAAAACTAGACAGAAGCCTTCTCAAAAACTACTTTGTGATGTGTGCATTCAGTTCACAGAGTTTAACCTATCTTTTGACAGAGCAGTTTTGAAACACTCTTAATGTAGAATCTGCAAGTGGACATTTGGAGCACTTTGAGGGCTATGGTGGAAAAGGAAATATCTTCACATAAAAACTAGACAGAAGCATTCTCAGAAACTTCTTTGTGATGTTTGCATTCAACTCAGAGAGTTAAACATTTCCTTTGCTAGAGCAGATTTGAAACACTCTTTTTGTAGAATCTGCAAGTGGATATTTTGACCCTTTGTGTCCTTCGTTGGAAACGGGAATACCTTCACATAAAAACTGGACGGAAGGATTCTCAGAAACTTCCTTGCGATGTGTGCATTCAACTCACAGAGTTGAACCTTCCTTTTGATAGAGCAGTTTTGAAGCACTCTTTTTGTAGTAACTGCAAGTGTATTTTTGGAGTGCTTTGAAACCTTCACTGGAAACCGGAATATATTCACATAAAAATTAGACAGAAGCATTCTCAGAAATTTCCTTTTGATGTGTGCATTCAACTCACAGAGTTGAACCTTCCTTTTGATAGAGCATTTTTGAAACACTCTTTTTGTGGAATCTGCAAGTGGTTAGAGGCCTTCGTTGGAAACGGGAATATCTCCACATAAAAACTGGACTGAAGCATTCTCAGAAACTTCCTTGTGATGTGTGCATTCAACTCAGAGAGTTGAAATCTTCTTTTGATAGAGCAGTTTTGAAACCTCTTTTTGTAGAATCTGCAAGTGGGTATTACTAGTGGTTAGAGGCCTTCGTTGGAAATGGGAATATCTCCACATAAAAACTAGACAGAAGCATTCTCAGAAATTTCTTTGTGATGTGTGCATTCAACTCACAGATTTGAGCCTTCCTTTGGTAGAGCAGTTTGGAAACACTCTTTTTGTAGAATGTGCAAGTGGATATTTCTAGTGGTGAGAAGCCTTCGTTGAAATGGGAATATCTCCACAGAAAAAATTGACAGAAGCATTCTCAGAAACTTCTTTGGGATGTGTGCATTCAACTCACAGATTTGAACCTCCTTTTGATAGAGCAGATTTGAAACACTGTTTTTGTAGAACATGCAGGTGGATATTTGGAATGCTTTGAAGCCTTCGTTGGAAACGGGAATATCTTCACATAAAAAGTAGACAGAAGGATTCTGAGAAACTACTTTGTGACGAGTGCATTCAACTCACAGAGTTTGCACTCGTTTTGATAAAGCAGTTTTGAAACCCTCTTTTTGTAGAATCTACATGTGGATATTTGGATACATTTAAGGCCTCAGGTAGAAAAGGAAATTTCTTCATGTAAAAATTAGAAAGAGGCATTCTCAGAATCTAGTTTCTGATGTGTGCATTCAACGCACGGATTTTAACCTTTCTTTTGATAGAGCAGTTTTGAAACACTATTTTTGTAGATTCTGCAAGTGGATATTTTGACTGCTTTGACGAATTCATTGGAAACGGGAATATTGTCACATAAATACCAGACAAAAGAATTCTCAGAAACTTCTTTGTGATGTTTGCATTGAACTCAGAGAGTTGGACATTTGTTTTCATGGAGCAGTTTTGTAACACTCTTTTGGTAGTATCTGAAATTGGATATTTGGAGCTATTTGAGGCCTTTGGTAGAAAAACAAATATCTTTAAATAAAAACTACACAGAAGCATTATCAGAAACCAGTATGTGACGTGTGCTTACAACACACATAATTTAACTTTCCTTTGATAGAGCAGTTTTGAAACATTCTGTTTGTAATTTCTGCAAGTGGATAATGGAGTGCTTTGAAGCCTTCTTTGGAAACAGGGAATATCTTCACCTAAAAGGTAGACAGAAGAATTCTCAAAAACTACTTGGTGATGTGTGCATTCAACTTACAGAGTTTAACTATCTTTTGACAGAGCAGTTTTGAAACACTCTTATTGTAGAATCTGCAAGTAGACATTTGGAGCACCTAGAGGGCTGTGGTGGAAAAGGAAATATCTTCACATAAAAACTAAACAGAAGGACGCTCAGAAACTTCTTTGTGATGTTTGCATTCAACTAAGAGAGTTAAACATTTCTTTTGCTAGAGCAGTTTTGAAACACTCTTTTTGTAGAATCTGCAAATGGATATTTTGACCTCTTTGTTTCCTTCGTTGGAAACGGGAATATCTTCACATAAAAAATGGACAGAAGCATCCTCAGAAACTTCCTTGTGATGTGTGCATTCAACTCGCAGAGGTGAACCTTCCTTTTGATAGAGCAGTTTTGAAACACTCTTTTTGTAGTGTCTGCAATTGGATATTTGGAGTGCTTTGAAGCCTTCATTGGAAAAGTGAATATATTCACATAAAAACTAGACTGAAGCATTCCCAGAAACTTCCTTTTGATGTGTACATTCAACTCACTGAGTTCAACCTTCCTTTGGATAGAGCAGTTTTGAAACACTCTTTTTGTAGAATATGCATGTGGATAATTGTAGAACTTTGAAGTCTTCTTTGGAAACGGCTATATCTCCACATAAAAACTAGACAGAAGCATTCTCAGAAATTTCTTTGCGATGTGTGCATTCAACTCACAGAGTTGAACCTTCCTTTTGTAGAGTAGTTTTGAAACACTCTTTTTGTAGTATCTGCAAATGTATATTTGGAGTGCTTTGAAGCCTTCATTGGAAACGGGAATATATTCAAATAAAAACTACACAATTGCATTCTCAGAAACTTCTTTGTGATGGGTGCATTCAACTCACAGAGTTGAACCTTCCTTTTGATAGAGCAGTTTTGAAACACTGTTTTTTTGTTTTTAGCAATGTATCAAATAATCTATTTTTTCAATGCATGTTTATGTTAACATAACAAAAGTCATATTGCATTTATTAATGTTACACTGTTTTTATCAATGATTGCCATAAATATTTGTTTGTTAAGTTCTTTGTGAATATTTTTAAATGTGTGTATTTTATTAATCATAATACATTCATGCATTTTCTCCTTGTTTGAATTTTACTTTGTATCCAAATTTTGTCAGTATGAAAAATGATGCAAACAAAAATATTCTTTTGCAAACATTTTGCCTGTATGTCTGGTTATCTTATTTCTTAAACTACTAATACAGCTTAAGCTGCATTCCTGAAGCTATTTATATAGATTACCAACTATGTCTGAAAAATAGAACTAATATTTAAAATTTAGAATGATTTTCTATACATTTGATATTAGCCAAAAGACCTATACATAAATGGAAATTCTCGTTCCCAGTTAATAGTTTCTGGCTTCACAATGAAACACTCTTTTTGTAGAATCTGCAACTGGATATTTCTGGTGGAGAGAAGCCTTCATTGGAAACGGGAATATCTCCACGTAAAAAATAGACAGAAGCATTCTCAGGAACTTCTTTGTGATGTGTGCATTCAACTTATAGAGTTGAACCTTCCTTTTGATAGAGCAGATTTGAAGCACTCTTTTTGTAGAATATGCAAGCGGATATTTGGAGTGCTTTGAAGCCTTCATTGGAAACGGGAATATCTTCACTTAAAAAGTAGACAGAAGGATTCTGAGAAACTACTTCGTGATGATTGCATTCAAATCACAGAGTTGAACACTCCTTTTGATAGAGCAGTTTTGAAACACTCTTTTTGTAGAATCTACACGTGAATATTTGGATCCCTTTAAGTCCTCTGGTAGAAAGGGAAATTTCTTTATGTATAAACTAGAAAGAAGCATTCTCATAATCTAGTTTCTGATGTGTGCATTCAACGCACATATTTTAACCTTTCTTTTGATAGAGCAGTTTTGAAACACTATTTTTGTAGAATCTCCAAGTGGATATTTTGACTGCTTTGAGGAATTCATTGGAAAAGGGAATATCATCACATAAATACCAGACAGAAGCATTCTCAGAAACTTCTTTGTGATGTTTGCATTCAACTCACAGAGTTGGACCTTTCTTTTCATAGAGCTGTTTTGAAACACTCTTTTAGTTGAATCTGCAATTGGATATTTGGAGCGCTTTGAGGTCTATGGAAGAAAAAGAAATATCTTCAAATAAAAACTAGACAGAAGAATTCTGAGAAACCAGATAGTGTTGTGTGCTTACAACTCACAGAATTTAACCTTTCTTTTGATAGAACAGCTTTGAAAAACTCTTTTTGTAGGACCTGCAAGTGGATAATTGGAGTGATTTGAAGCCTTCGTTGGAAACGGGAATATCTTCACCTAAAAACTAGACAGAATCATTCTCAAAAACTACTTTGTGATGTGTACATTCAACTCACAGAGTTAACCTGTCTTTTGACAGAGAAGTTTTGAAACTCTCTTAATGTAGAATCTGCAAGTGGACATTTGGAGCACTTTGAGGGCTATGGTGGAAAAGGAAATATCTTCACCTAAAAACTAGACAGAAACATTCTCAGAAAATACTTTGTGATGTTTGCATTCAACTCACACTGTTAAACATTTCTTTTGCTAGAGCAGTTTTGAAACACTCTTTTTGTAGAATCTGCAAGTGGATATTTTGACCGCTTTTTGTCCTTCATTGGAAACGGGTATATCTTCACATTAAAAACTTGACAGAAGCATTCTCAGAAACTTCCTTGGGATGTGTGCATTCAACTCACAGAGTTGAACCTTCCTTTTGATAGAGTAGTTTTGAAACACTCTTTTAGAGTATCTGCAAGTGTATATTTGGAGTGCTTTGAAGCCTTCGTTGAAAACGGGAATATATTCACATGAAAACTAGACAGAATAATTCTCAGAAACTTCATTGTGATCTGTCCATTCAACTCACAGAGTTGAACCTCCCTTTTGATAGAGCAGTTTTGAAACACTCTTTTTGTAGAATCTGCAAGTAGCTAATTAGAGTAATTTGAAGTCTTCATTGGAAAAGGCTATATCTTCATATAAAAATTAGACAGTTGAATTCTCAGAAACTTCTTTGTGATGTGTGCACTCAAATCAGAGAGTTGAACCTTCCTTTTGATAGAGCAATTTGGAAACACTCTTTTTGTTCAATCTGCAAGTTGGTATTTTTAGTGGAGAGAAGCCTTCGTTGGAAACGGGAATATGTTCACATACAAACTGGACAGAAGCATTCCAAGAAACTTCCTTGTGATGTGTGCATTCAACTCACAGAGTTGAACCTTCCTTTTGATAGAGCAGTTTAGAAACACTCTTTTAGTACTATTTGCAAGTGTGTATTTGTAGTGCTTTGAAGCCTTCGTTGGAAACGGGAATATATTCACAAGAAAACTAGACAGAAGCTTTCTTAGAAACTTCCTTGTGATGTGTGCATTCAACTCACGGTGTTGAACCTTCCTTTTAATACAGCAGTTTTGAAACACTCTTTTTGTAGAATCTGCAAGTGCATATTTTGACCGCTTGATGTCCTTCATTGGAAACGGGAATGTCTTCACATAAAAACTGGACAGATGCATTCTCAGAAACTTACTTGTGATGTGAGTTCAACTCACAGAGTTGAACATTCCTTTTGATAGAGGACATTTGAAACACTTTTTTTGTACTATCTGCAGTTGGATATTTGGAGTGCTTGGAAGCCCTCGTTGGAAACGAGAATATATTCACTTGAAAACTAGACAGAAGCATTCTCAGACACTTCCTTGTGATGTGTGCATTCAACTCACAGAGTTGAACCTTCCTTTTGATAGAGCAGTTTTGAAATACTCTTTTTGTAGAATATGCAAGTGGATATTTGGAGTGCTTTGAAGCCTTCGTTGGAAACGGGAATATCTTCACATAAAAAGTAGTCAGAAGGATTCTCAGAAACTACTTTGTGATGGATGCATTAAACTCATATCTTTAAACACTCTTTTTGATAGAGCAGTTTTGAAACAAACTTTTTGTAGAATCTACACGTGGATATTTGGATCCCTTTAATGCCTCAGGTAGAAAAGGCAATTTCTTTGTATAACAACTAGAAAGAAGCATACTCTTAAACTCGTTTCTGATGTGTGCATTTAACCCACTGATTTTAACCTTTCTTTTGACAGAGCAGTTTTGAAACACTCTTTTTGTAGAATCTGCAAGTGGATATTTTGACAGGTTTGAGGAATTCGTTGGAAACGGGAATATCTTCACATAAATACCAGACTGGAACATTCTCAGAAACTACTTTGTGATATTGGCATTCAACTCACAGAGTTTAACCTTTCTGTTCAAAGAGGAGTTTTGAAACACTCCTTTGGTAGAATCTGCAATTGTTTATTTGGAGAGATTTCAGGCCTATTGAAGCAAAGGAAGTATCTTCATATAAAAACTAGACAGAAGCATTCTCAGGAGCTAATTTGTGATGTGTGCTTACAACTCACAGAATTTATTCTTTCTTTTGATAGAGTGGTTTTGAAACACTCTTTTAGTAGGATCTGCAAGTGGATAATTGGAGTGCTTTGAAGCCTTCTTTGGAAACGGTAATATCATCACTTAAAAACTAGACAGAAGCATTCTCAAAAGCTACTTTGTGATGTGTGCATTCAACTCACAGAGTTTAACTTATCTTTTGACCGAGCAGTTTTGAAACACCCTTATTGTAGAATCTGCAAGTGGACATTTGGAGCACTTTGAGGACTATGGTGGAAAAGGAAACATCTTCACATAAGAACTAGACAGAAGTATTCCCAGAAAGTTCTTGTGATGTTTGCATTCAACTTAGAGAGTTAAACATTTCTTTTGGTAGAGCAGTTTTGCAACACTCTTTTTGTAGAATCTGCAAGGGGATAATTTGACCGCTTGTGTCGTTCGTTGGAAACGGGAATATCTTCACATAAAAACTGGACAGAAGCATTCTCAGAAAGTTCCTTGTGATGTGTGCATTCAACTCACAGAGTTGAACCTACCTTTTGATAGAGCAATTTGAAACACTCTTTTTGTAGTGTCTGCAAGTGTATATTTGGAGTGCTTTGAAGCCTTCTTTGGAAAAGGGAATATATTCACATAAAAACTAGACAGAAGCATTCTCAGAAACGTACTTTTGATGTGTGCATTCAACTCCCAGAGTTGAACCTTCCTTTTGATAGAGCAGTTTTGAAATACTCTTTTTGTAGAATCTTCAAGTGGATATTTCTTGTGGTTAGAAGCCTTCATTGGAAACGGGAATATCTCCACATAAAAACTTGACAGAAGCATTCTCAGAAACTCCTTTTTGATGTGTGCATTCAACTCACAGAGTTGGACCTTCCTTTTGATAGAGCAGTTTTGAAACACTCTTTTTGTAGAATATGCAAGTGGATATTTGGAGAGCTTTGAAGCCTTCGTTGGAAACGAGAATATATTCACATGAAAACTAGACAAAAGCATTGTCAGAAACTTCCTTGTGATGTGTGCATTCAACTCACAGAGATGAACCTTCCTTTTGATAGAGCAGTTTTAAAACACTCTTTTTGTAGTATCTGCAAGTGTATATTTGGATCGCTTTGAAGAATTCATTGGAAACGGGAATATATTCACATAAAAACTAGATAGAAGCATTCTCAGTAACTTCCTTTTGATGTGTGCATTCAACTCACAGAGTTGAAGCTTCCTTTTGATGGAGCAGTTTTGAAACAGATTTTGTGTAGAATCAGCTAGTGGATAACTGTAGTACTTTGAAGCCTTCATTGGAAACGGGTATATCTTCACATAAAAAAGACAGATGGATTCTCAGAAGAGTGTTTGTGATGTGTGCATTCAACTCACAGAGTTGAACCTTCCTTTTAATAGAGCAGTTTTGAAACACTCTTTTTGTAGAATATGCAAGTGGATATTTCTGATGGTCAGAAGCCTTCCTTGGAAACCAGAATAGCTCCACATAAGAACTAGATAGAACTATTCTCAGATACTTCCTTGTGATGTGTGCATTCAACTTACAGAGTTGAATCTTCCTTTTGATAGAACAGTTTTGAAACACTCTTTTTGTACAATATGCAAGTAGATATTTGGAGTGCTTTGAAGCCTCAGTTGGAAACGGGAATATCTTCACATAAAAAGTAGACAGAAGGATTCTCAGAAACTAATTTGTGATGTGTGCATTCAACTCACAGAGTTGAACACTCCTTTTGATAGAGCAGTTTTGAAACAGTCTTTTTATAGTATCTGTCAGTGGATATTTGGAACGATTTGAGGCATGTGATGGAAGAGGAAATACCTACACATACAAACTAGACAGAAGCATTCTCAGAAACTGCTTTGTGATGTGCGCACTGAACTCAAAAAGTTGAACCTTCCTTTTGAGAGAGCAGTTATGAAACAGTCTTTTTGTAGTATCTGCAAGTGGATATTTGGAGAGATTTGAAGCTTGTGATGGAAAAGGGAATATCTTCACATAAAAAATAGAAAGAAGCATTCTCAGAATCTGCTTCGTGGTGTGTGCATTCACCTCATAGAGTGGAACCCTTCTTTTAATAGAGCAGTTTTGAAACAGTCTTTTTGAAGAATCTGCAAGTGTTCTTTTGGAGCGCTTTGAAGCCTACGGTAGAAAAGAAAATATCTTCACATAAAAACAAGATAGAAGCATTCTCAGGAACTTCTTGAGATGTGTGCATTCAACTAAAAGAGTTGAATCCCTCTTTTGATAGAGCAGTATTGAAACACTCCTTTTGTAGAATCTGCTGGCGGATATTTTCAACTCCTTGAGGAATTCATTGGAAACGGATATCTTCACTTAAAAACTAGTCCCAAGCCATCTCAGAAACTTGTTTGTGATGTGTGCATTCAACTCACAGACTTGAACCTTTCTTTTGATGGAGCAGTGTGGAAACACACTTTTTGTAGAATCTGCAAGTTTCATTTGGAGTGCATTGTTGCCTATAGGGAAAAAAAAATCTTCACA
>NC_000005.10:47078720-47079733 GCF_000001405.40 Homo sapiens | reverse complement strand
AACGGCTATCTTCACATAAAAAGTAGACCCAAGCATCTCAGACAGTTCTTGTGATATGTACATTGGACTCCCAGACTTGAAACTTTCTTTTGATAGAGCAGTGTTGGAACACACTTTTTGTAGAATCTTCATGTGTTCGTTTGGAGTGCTCTGTTGCCTATGGTGGAAAAAGGAATATCTTCACCTAAAAACCAGACAGAAGCATTCTCAGAGACTGCTTTGTGATGTGTGTGTTCAATTCGCAGAGTTGAAAGTTGCTTTTGATAGAGCAGTTTTGAAACACTGCTTTTGTAGAATCTGCTTGTTGCTATTGGGGGCTCTTTGAGGAATTTGTTGTAAACGGGATATCTTCACATACAAAGTAGACAGAAGCATTCTCAGAAACTGCTCTGTGATGTGTGCATTCAACTCACAGAGTTGAACCTTCCTTTTGCGAGAGCTGTTTTGAAGCAGTCTTTTTGTGGTATCTGCAATTGGATATTTGGATCGATTTGAGGCCTAAGATGGAAAAGGAAATATCTTCACATACAAACTAGACAGAAGCATTCTCAGACACTGCGTTGTGATGTGTGCATTCAACTCACAGAGTTGAACCTTCCTTTTGAGAGCAGTTTTGAAACAGTCTTTTTGAAGTATCTGCAAGTGGATGTTTGGAGAGATTTGAGGCCTAAGATGGAAAAGGATATATCTTCACCTAAAAACTAGGCAGAAGCATTCTCAGAAACTGCTTTGTGATGTGAGGATTCGACTCACAGGCTTGAAACTTTCTTTTGATAGAGCAGGGTTGAAACACACTTTTTGTAGAATCTGCAAGTGTTCATTTGGAGTGCTTTCTTGCCCATGGTGGAAAAAGAAATATCTTCACGTAAAAACTAGACAGAAACATTCTCAGAAAATACTTTGTGATGTAGTTGTTCAATTCACAGGGTTGAAACTTTCTTTAGATAAAGCAGTTTTGAAACACTGCTTTTGTAGAATCTTCTTGTGGATATTTGGAGCTGTTGAGGAATTCG
>NC_000005.10:47073730-47078603 GCF_000001405.40 Homo sapiens | reverse complement strand
CACAGAGTTGACCTTCCTTTTGAGAGAGCAGTTTTGAAACAATCTTTTTGTATTCTCTACAAGTGGATACTTGGAGCAAAGGGAGACTAAGATTGAAAAGGAAATATCTTCACGGCCAAACTTGACAGAAGCTTTCTCAGAATCTGCTTTGTGATGTGTGCATTCACCTCACAGAGTGGAACCGTCCTTTTGATAGAGCAGTTCTGAAACAGTCTTTTTGTAGGATCTGCGAGTGTTCATTCTGGTGCGCTTTTAAGCCTTTGGCGGAAAAGGAAATATCTTCACAAAAAACTAGACAGAGGCATGCTCAGGAACTTCATTGAGATGTGTGCATTCAAGTAACTGAGTTGAATCTGCCTTTTGATAGAGCAGAATTGAAACACTCCTTTTGTAGAATATGCTTGTGGATATTTGGAACTCTTTCAGGAATTCGTTGGAAGCTGGTATCTTCCCAAAAAAAGGAAACCCAAGCATTCTCAAAAAGTTGTTTGAGATGTGTGCCTTAAACTCACAGACTTCAAACTTTCTTTTGAGAGATCAGTGTTGGAACACGCTTTTTGTAGAATCTGCAAGTGTTCATTTAGTGCGCTCTGTTGCCTATGGTGGAAAAAGAAATATCTTCAAATGAAAACTAGACAGAAACATTCTCAGAAACTCCTTTGTGAAGTGTTTGTCAAATTCACAGAATTGAAATTTTCTTTTGATAGAGCAGTTTTGAAACACCGCTTTCATAGGATCTGCTTGTGGATATTTCGAGCTCTTTGAGGATTTCGTTGTAAACGGGATATCTTCACATACAAACTAGGCAGAAGAATTCTCAGAAACTGCTTTGTGATGTGTGCATTCAACTCACAGACTTGAACCTTTCTTTTGAAAGAGCAGTGTTGAAACACACATTTTGTAGGATGTGCAAGTGTTCACTTGGAGCGCTTTTTTGCCTATGGTGGAAAAAGCAATATCTTCACATAAATAGTAGACAGAAGCATTCTCAGAAACTGCTTTCTGATGTGTTTGTTCTATTCAGAGAGTTGAACCTTTCTTTTCATGGAGCAGTTTTGATACACGGCTTTTGTAGAATCTGCTTGTGGATATTTGGAGCTCTTTGAGGAATTCGTTGTAAACGGGATATCTTCACATACAAACTAGACAGAAGCGTTCTCAGGAACTGCTTTGTGATGTGTGCATTCAACTCACAGACTTGAACCTTTCTTTTGATAGAGCAGTGTTGAAACACACATTTGGAAGAATCTGCTTGTGGATATTTGGAGCGATTAGAGGCCTATGAAGGAAAAGGAAATATCTTCACCTACAAACTAGACAGAAGCGTTCTCAGAAACTGCTTTGTGATGTGTGCATTCACCTCACAGAGTGGAACCATTCTTTGGATAGAGCAGTTTTAAAACAGTCTTTTTCTAGTATGTGCAAGTGTTCATTTTGAGCGCTTTGAGGCCCATGATGGAAAAGGAAATATTTTCACATAAAAAGTAGACAGAAACTTTCTCAGGAACTTCATTGAGATGTGTGCATTAAAGTAACTGAGTTGAATACGTCTTTTGATAGAGCAGTATGGAAACACTTCTTTTGTAGAATCTGCCTGTGGATATCTGGAACTCTTTGAAGAATTCTTTGGAAACGGCTATCTTCACATAAAAAGTAGACCCAAACATTCTCAGACAGTTCTTTGTCATATGGACATTGGACTCCCAGACTTGAACCTTTCTTTTGATAGAGCAGTGTTGGAACACACTTTTTGTAGAATCTTCATGTATTCGTTTGGAGTGCTTTGTTGCCTATGGTGGAAAAAGAAATATCTTCACCTAAAAACCAGACAGAAGCATTCTCAGAGACTGCTTTGTGATGTGTGTGTTCAATTCGCAGAGTTGAAAGTTGATTTTGATAGAGCAGTTTTGAAACACTGCTTTTGTAGAATCTGCTTGTTGCTATTGGGGGCTCTTTGAGGAATTTGTTGTAAACGGGATATCTTCACATACAAAGTAGACAGAAGCATTCTCAAAAACTGCTCTGTGATGTGTGCATTGGAATCACAGAGTTGAACCTTCCTTTTGCGAGAGCTGTTTTGAAGCAGTCTTTTTGTGGTATCTGCAATTGAATATTTGGATCGATTTGAGGCCTAAGATGGAAAAGGAAATATCTTCACATACAAACTAGACAGAAGCATTCTCAGACACTGCGTTGTGATGTGTACATTCAACTCACAGAGTTGAACCTTCCTTTTGAGAGCAGTTTTGAAACAGTCTTTTTGAAGTATCTGCAAATGGATGTTTGGAGAGATTTGAGGCCTAAGAGGGAAAAGGATATATCTTCACGTAAAAACTAGGCAGAAGAATTCTCAGAAACTGCTTTGTGATGTGGGGATTCAACTCACAGACTTGAGACTTTCCTTTGATAGAGCAGTGTTGAAACACACTTTTTGTAGAATCTCCAAGTGTTCATTTGGAGTGCTTTCTTGTCCATGGTCGAAAAAGAAATATCTTCACGTAAGAACTAGGCAGAAACATTCTCAGAAAATACTTTGTGATGTAGTTGTTCAATTCACAGGGTTGAACCTTTCTTTAGATAAAGCAGTTTGGAAACACTGCTTTTGTAGAATCTTCTTGTGGATATTTGAAGCTGTTTGAGGAATTCGTTTTAAAGAGGATACCTTCACATTCAAACTAGTCAGAAGCATTCTCAGAAACTGCTTTGTGATGTGTGCATTCAACACACGGAGTTGAACCTTCCTTCTGAGAGAACAGTTTTCAAACAGTCTTTTTGTAGTATCTGCAAGTCGATATTTGGAACGATTTGAGGTCTATGAGGGAAAAGGAACTATCTTCACATACAAACTAGACAGAAGCATGCTCAGAAACTGCTTTGTGATGTGTGCATTCAACTCACAGAGTTGAACCTTCCTTTTGAGAGAGAGGTTTTGAAACAGTCTTTTTGTAGTATATACAAGTGGATATTTTTAGGGATTTGAGGTCTAAGATGGAAAAGGAAATACCTTCACCTACAACCTAGACAGAAGCATTCTCAGAAACTGCTTTGTGATGTATGCATTCAACACACGGAGTTGAACCTTCCTTCTGAGAGAACAGTTTTCAAACAGTCTTTTTGTAGTATCTGCAAGTCGATATTTGGAACGATTTGAGGCCTATGAGGGAAAAGCAACTATCTTCACATACAAACTAGACAGAAGCATGCTCAGAAACTGCTTTGTGATGTGTGCATTCAACTCACAGAGTTGAACCTTCCTTTTGAGAGAGAGGTTTTGAAACAATATTTTTATAGTATATACAAGTGGATAGTTTTAGTGATTTGAGGTCTAAGATGGAAAAGGAAATACCTTCACCTACAAACTAGACAGAAGCATTCTCAGAAACTGCTTTGTGATGTGTGTATTAAACTTACAGACTTGAAACCATATTTTGATAGAGCAGTGTTGAAACACACTTTTCATAGAATCTGCAAGTGTTCATTTGGAGAGCTTTGTTGCCTGAGGTGGAAAAAGAAACGTGTTCACATACAAACTAGAAACAAGCATTCTCAGAAACTCCTTTGAGATGTTTGTGTCCAATTCACAAAGTTGAACCTTTCTTTTGATAGAGCATATTTGAAACACTGCTTTTGTAGAATCTGCTTGCGGATATTTGGAGGTCTTTGAGGAATTAGGCGTATACGGGAGATCTTTACATACAAGTTACACAGAAGCATTCTCAGAAACTGCTTTGTGATGTGTGCATTCAACTCACAGAGTTGAAACTTTCTTTTGAGAAAGCAGTTCTGAAACAGTCTTTCTGTAGTATCTGCAAGTGCATATTTGGAGCGATTTGAGGCCTATGATGGAAAAGGAAATATGTTCACATACAAACTAGACAGAAGCGTTCTGAGAAACTGCTTTGTGATGTGTGCATTCACCTCACAGAGTGGAACCGTTCTTTGGATAGAGCAGTTTTGAAACAGTCTTTCTCTAGTATCTGCAAGTGTTCATTTTGAGCGCTTTGAGGCCCATGATGGAAAAGGAAATATTTTCACATAAAAACTAGACAGAAGCTTTCTCAGGAACTTCATTGAGATGTGTGCATTAAAGTAACTGAGTGGAATACGTCTTTTGATAGAGCAGTATTGAAACACTTCTTTTGTAGAATCTGCCTGTGGATATCTGGAACTCTTTGAAGAATTCTTTGGAAACGGCTATCTTCACATAAAAAGTAGACCCAAGCATTCTCAGAAAGTTCTTTGTGATATGTACATTGGACTCCCAGACTTGAACCTTTCTTTTGATAGAGCAGTGTTGGAACACACTTTTTGTAGAATCTTCATGTGTTCGTTTGGAGTGCTCTGTTGCCTATGGTGGAAAAAGGAATATCTTCACCTAAAAACCAGACAGAAGCATTCTCAGAGACTGCTTTGTGATGTGTGTGTTCAATTCGCAGAGTTGAAAGTTGCTTTTGATAGAGCAGTTTTGAAACACTGCTTTTGTAGAATCTGCTTGTTGCTATTGGGGGCTCTTTGAGGAATTTGTTGTAAACGGGATATCTTCACATACAAAGTAGGCAGAAGCATTCTCAGAAACTGCTCTGTGATGTGTGCATTCAACTCACAGAGTTGAACCTTCCTTTTGCGAGAGCTGTTTTGAAGCAGTCTTTTTGTGGTATCTGCAATTGGATATTTGGATCGATTTGAGGCCTAAGATGGAAAAGGAAATATCTTCACATACAAACTAGACAGAAGCATTCTCAGACACTGCGTTGTGATGTGTGATTCAACTCACAGAGTTGAACCTTCCTTTTGAGAGCAGTTTTGAAACAGTCTTTTTGAAGTATCTGCAAGTGGATGTTTGGAGAGATTTGAGGCCTAAGATGGAAAAGGA
>NC_000005.10:47061388-47069162 GCF_000001405.40 Homo sapiens | reverse complement strand
TTCATTTGGAGAGCTTTGTTGCTGTGGTGGAAAAAGAAATGTGTTCACATACAAACTAGAAAGAAGCCTTCTCAGAAACTCCTTTGAGATGTTTGTGTCCAATTCACAAAGTTGAACCTTTCTTTTGATAGAGCAGATTTGAAACACTGCTTTTGTAGAATCTGCTTGCGTGTATTTGGAGGGCTTTGAGGAATTGGGCGTATACGGGATATCTTCAAATACAAATTACACAGAAGCATTCTCAGAAACTGCTCTGTGATGTGTGCATTCAACTCACAGAGTTGAAACTTTCTTTTGAGAAAGCAGTTCTGAAACAGTCTTTTTGTAGTATCTGCAAGTGGATATTTGGAGCGATTTGAGGCCTATGATGGAAAAGGAAATATGTGCACATACAAACTAGACAGAAGCATTCTCAGATACTGCTTTGTGATGTGTGTGTTCAATTCACAGGGTTGACTCTTTCTTTTGATTGAGCAGTTTTGAACCACCAGTTTTGTAAAATCTGCTTGTGGATATTTGTAGCTCTTGGAGGAATTCTTTGTAAAAGGGAGATCTTCACATACACACTAGTCAGAAGCATTCTCAGAAACTTCTTTGTGATATGTGAATTGAACTCACAGAGTTGAACCTTCCTTTTGAGAGAGCCGTTTTGAAACAATCTTTTTGAAGTATCTTCAATTGGATGTTTCTAGTGATTTGAGTCCTAAGATGGAAAAGGAAATATCTTCACATACAATCTAGAGAGAAGCACTCTCAGAAGCTGCTTGGTGATGTCTGCATTTAACTCACAGACTTGAACCCTTGTTTTGAAAGAGCAGTGTTGAAACACACATTTTGTACGATCTGCAAGTGTTCATTTGGAGCGCTTTTGTGCCTATGGTGGATAAAGAAATGTCTTCACATAAATACTAGACAGAAGCATTCTCAGAAACTGCTTTGTGATGTGTGCATTCAACTCACAGAGTTGAACCTTCCTTTTGAGAGAGAGGTTTTGAAACAGTCTTTTTGTAGTATCTGCAAGTGGATATTTTTAGTGATTTGAGGTCTAAGATGGAAAAGGAAATACCTTCACCTACAAACTAGACAGAAGCATTCTCAGAAACTGCTTTGTGATGTGTGCATTTAACTTACAGACTTGAAACTTTATTTTGATAGAGCAGTATTGAAACACACTTTTTATAGAATCTGCAAGTGTTCATTTGGAGAGCTTTGTTGCCTGTGGTGGAAAAAGGAATATGTTCACATAGAAATTAGAAAGAAGCATTCTCAGAAACTCCTTTGTGATGTTTGTGTCCAATTCACAAAGTTGAACCTTTCTTTTGATAGAGCAGATTTGAAACACTGCTTTTGTAGAATCTGCTTGCAGATATTTGGAGGTCTTTGAGGAATTGGGCGTATATGGGAGATCTTCACATACAAGTTACACAGAAGCATTCTCAGAAACTGCTTTGTGATGTGTGCATTCAACTCACAGAGTTGAAACTTTCTCTTGAGAAAGCAGTATTGAAACAGTCTTTCTGTAGTATCTGCCAGGGGATATTTGGAGCGATTTGAGGCCTATGATGGAAAAGGAAATACGTTCACATACAACCTAGACAGAAACGTTCTCAGAAACTGCTTTGTGATGTGTGCATTCACCTCAGAGAGTGGAACCGTTCTTTGAATAGAGCAGTTTTGAAACAGTCTTTCTCTATTATCTGCAAGTGTTCATTTTGAGCGCTTTGAGGCCCATGATTGAAAAGGAAATATTTTCACATAAAAGCTAGGCAGAAGCTTTCTCAGGAACTACATTGAGATGTGTGCATTAAAGTAACTGAGTTGAATACGTCTTTTGATAGAGCAGTATTGAAACACTTCTTTTGTAGAATCTGCCTGTGGATATCTGGAACTCTTTGAAGAATTCTTTGGAAACGGCTATCTTCACATAAAAAGTAGACCCAAGCATTCTCAGAAAGTTCTTTGTGATATGTACATTGGACTCCCAGACTTGAACCTTTCTTTTGATACAGCAGTGTTGGAACACACATTTGTAGAATCTTCATATGTTCGTTTGGAGTGCTCTGTTGCCTATGGTGGAAAAAGGAATATCTTCACCTAAAAACCAGACAGAAGCATTCTCAGAGACTGCTTTGTGATGTGTGTGTTCAATTCGCAGAGTTGAAAGTTGCTTTGGATAGAGCAGTTTTGAAACACTGCTTTTGTAGAATCTGCTTGTTGCTACTGGGGGCTCTTTGAGGAATTTGTTGTAAACGGGATATCTTCACATAAAAAGTAGACAGAAGCATTCTCAGAAACTGCTCTGTGTTGTGTGCATTCAACTCACAGAGTTGAACTTTCCTTTTGCGAGAGCTGTTTTGAAGCAGTCTTTTTGTGGTATCTGCAATTGGATATTTGGATCGATTTGAGGCCTAAGATGGAAAAGGAAATATCTTCACATACAAACTAGACAGAAGCATTCTCAGACACTGCGTTGTGATGTGTGCATTCAACTCACAGAGTTGAACCTTCCTTTTGAGAGCAGTTTTGAAACAGTCTTTTTGAAGTATCTGCAAGTGGATGTTTGGAGAGATTTGAGGCCTAAGATGGAAAAGGATATATCTTCACCTAAAAACTAGGCAGAAGCATTCTCAGAAACTGCTTTGTGATGTGGGGATTCAACTCACAGGCTTGAAACTTTCTTTTGATACAGCAGGGTTGAAACATACTTTTTGTAGAATCTGCAAGTGTTCATTTGGAGTGCTTTCTTGCCCATGGTGGAAAAAGAAATATCTTCACGTAAAAACTAGACAGAAACATTCTCAGAAAATACTTTGTGATGTAGTTGTTCAATTCACAGGGTTGAAACTTTCTTTAGATAAAGCAGTTTTGAAACACTGCTTTTGTAGAATCTGCTTGTGGATATTTGGAGCTCTTTGAGGAATTCGTTGTAAATGGGATATCTTCACATACAAACTAGACACAAGCATTCTCAGAAACTGCTTTGTGGTGTGTGCATTCAACTCACAGAGTTGGACCTTCCTTCTGAGAGAGCAGTTTTTAAACAGTCTCTTTGAAATATCTGCAAGTGGATACTTGGAGCGATGGGAAGTCTAAGATTGAAAAGGAAATATCCTCACATGCAAACTAGACAGAAGCAATCTCATTAACTGCTTTGTGATGTGTGCATTCAGCTCACAGAGTTGAACCTTCCTTTTGAGAGAGCAGTTTTGAAACAGTTTTTTGTAGTATCCTCAAGTGGATATATGGAGCGATGTGAGGCTTAAGATGGAAACGGGAATATCTGCACATACAAACTAGATAGAAGCATTCTCAGAAACTGCTTTGTGATGGGTGCATTCAACTCAGAGACTTGAACATTTCTTTAGACGGGGCAGTGTTGAAACACACATTTGTAGAATCTGCAAGAGTTCATTTGGAACGCTTTGATGCCTATGGTGGAAAAAGAAATATCTTCACATAAAGACTCGAAAGAAGCGTTCTCCGAAACTCTTTGTGATATGTGTGTTCAGTTCACAGAGTTGAACCTTTCTTTTGTTTGAGCAGTTTTGAAACACTGCTTTTCTAGAATCTGCTTGTGGATGTTTGGAGCTCTTTGAGGGATTCGCTGTCAATGGGATATCTTCACATACAAACTAGACAGAAGCATTCTCAGAAACTGCTTTGTGATGTGTGCATTCAACACACGGAGTTGAACCTTCCTTCTGAGAGAACGGTTTTCAAACAGTCTTTTTGTAGTATCTGCAAGTCGATATTTGGTACGATTTGGGGCCTATGAGGGAAAAGGAACTATCTTAACATACAAACTAGACAGAAGCATGCTCAGAAACTGCTTTGTGATGTGTGCATTCAACTCACAGATTTGAACCTTCCTTTTGAGAGAGAGGTTTTGAAACAGTCTTTTTGTAGTATATACAAGTGGATATTTTTAGTGATTTGAGGTCTAATATGGAAAAGGAAATACCTTCACCTACAAACTAGACAGAAGCATTCTCAGAAACTGCTTTGTGATGTGTGCATTAAACTTACAGACTTGAAACCTTATTTTGATATAGCAGTGTTGAAACACACTTTTTATAGAATCTGCAAGTGTTCATTTGGAGAGCTTTGTTGCCTGTGGTGGAAAAAGAAATGTGTTCACATACAAACTAGAAAGAAGCCTTCTCAGAAACTCCTTTGAGATGTTTGTGTCTAATTCACAAAGTTGAACCTTTCTTTTGATAGAGCAGATTTGCAACACTGCTTTTGTAGAATCTGCTTGCGTGTATTTGGAGGTCTTTGAGGAATTGGGCGTATACGGGATATCTTCACATACAAATTACACAGAAGCATTCTCAGAAACTGCTCTGTGATGTGTGCATTCAACTCACAGAGTTGAAACTTTCTTTTGAGAAAGCAGTTCTGAAACAGTCTTTTTGTAGTATCTGCAAGTGGATATTTGGAGCGATTTGAGGCCTATGATGGAAAAGGAAATATGTTCACTTACAAACTAGACAGAAGCATTCTCAGAAACTGCTTTGTGATGTGTGTGTTCAATTCACAGGGTTGACTCTTTCTTTTGATTGAGCAGTTTTGAACCACCTGTTTTGTAGAATCTGCTTGTGGATATTTGTAGCTCTTGGAGGAATTCTTTGTAAAAGGGATATCTTCACATACACACTAGTCAGAAGCATTCTCAGAAACTTCTTTGTGATGTGTGAATTGAACTCACAGAGTTGAACCTTCCTTTTGAGAGAGCCGTTTTGAAACAATCTTTTTGAAGTATCTTCAATTGGATGTTTGTAGTGATTTGAGGCCTAAGATGGAAAAGGAAATATCTTCAGATACAATCTAGACAGAAGCACTCTCAGAAGCTGCTTGGTGATGTCTGCATTCAACTCACAGACTTGAAACCTTGTTTTGAAAGAGCAGTGTTGAAACACACATTTCGTACGATCTGCAAGTGTTCATTTGGAGCGCTTTTGTGCCTATGGTGGATAAAGAAATATCTTCACATAAATACTAGACAGAAGCATTCTCAGAAACTGCTTTGTGATGTGTGCATTCAACTCACAGAGTTGAACCTTCCTTTTGAGAGAGAGGTTTTGAAACAGTCTTTTTGTAGTATCTGCAAGTGGATATTTTTAGTGATTTGAGGTCTAAGATGGAAAAGGAAATACCTTCACCTACAAACTAGACAGAAGCATTCTCAGAAACTGCTTTGTGATGTGTGCATTAAACTTACACACTTGAAACTTTATTTTGATAGAGCAGTGTTGAAACACACTTTTTATAGAATCTGCAAGTGTTCATTTGGAGAGCTTTGTTGCCTGTGGTGGAAAAAGGAATATGTTCACATAGAAACTAGAAAGAAGCATTCTCAGAAACTCCTTTGTGATGTTTGTGTCCAATTCACAAAGTTGAACCTTTCTTTTGATACAGCAGATTTGAAACACTGCCTTTGGAGAATCTGCTTGCGGATATTTGGAGGTCTTTGAGGAATTGGGCGTATACGGGAGATCTTCACATACAAGTTACACAGAAGCATTCTCAGAAACTGCTTTGTGATATGTGCATTGAACTCACAGAGTTGAAACTTTCTTTTGAGAAAGCAGTTTTGAAACAGTCTTTTTGTAGTATCTGCAAGTGGATATTTGGAGCGATTTGAGGCCTATGATGGAAAAGGAAATATGTTCACATACAAACTAGACAGGAGCGTTCTGAGAAACTGCTTTGTGATGTGTGCATTCACCTCACAGAGTGGAACCTTTCTTTGGATAGAGCAGTTTTGAAACAGTCTTTCTCTAGTATCTGCAAGTGTTCATTTTGAGCGCTTTGAGGCCCATGATGGAAAAGGAAATATTTTCACATAAAAACTAGACAGAAGCTTTCTCAGGAACTTCATTGAGATGTGTGCATTAAAGTAACTGAGTTGAATACGTCTTTTGATAGAGCAGTATTGAAACACTTCTTTTGTAGAATCTGCCTGTGGATATCTGGAACTCTTTGAAGAATTCTTTGGAAACGGCTATCTTCACATAAAAAGTAGACCCAAGCATTCACAGAACGTTCTTTGTGACATGTACATTGGACTCCCAGACTTGAAACTTTCTTTTGATAGAGCAGTGTTGGAACACACTTTTTGTAGAATCTTCATGTGTTCGTTTGGAGTGCTCTGTTGCCTATGGTGGAAAAAGGAATATCTTCACCTAAAAACCAGACAGAAGCATTCTCAGAGACTGCTTTGTGATGTGTGTGTTCAATTCGCAGAGTTGAAAGTTGCTTTGGATAGAGCAGTTTTGAAACACTGCTTTTGTAGAATCTGCTTGTTGCTATTGGGGGCTCTTTGAGGAATTTGTTGTAAACGGGATATCTTCACATACAAAGTAGACAGAAGCATTCTCAGAAACTGCTCTGTGATGTGTGCATTCAACTCACAGAGTTGAACCTTCCTTTTGCGAGAGCTGTTTTGAAGCAGTCTTTTTGTGGTATCTGCAATTGGATATTTGGATCGATTTGAGGCCTAAGATGGAAAAGGAAATATCTTCACATACAAACTAGACAGAAGCATTCTCAGAAACTGCTTTGTGGTGTGTGCATTCAACTCACAGAGTTGAACCTTCCTTCCGAGAGAGCAGTTTTTAAACAGTCTGTGTGTAATATCTGCAAGTGGATACTTGGAGTGATGGGAAGTCTAAGATTGAAAAGGAAATATCCTCACATGCTAACTAGACAGAAGCAATCTCATTAATTGGTTTGGGACGTGTGCATTCAGCTCACAGAGTTGAACCTTCCTTTTGAGAGAGCAGTTTTGAAACAGTTTTTTGTAGTATCCTCAAGTGGATATATGGAGCGATGTGAGGCTTAAGATGGAAACGGGAATATCTGCACATACAAACTAGATAGAAGCATTCTCAGAAGGCTGCTTTGTGATGGGTGCATTCAACTCAGAGACTTGAACATTTCTTTAGACGGAGCAGTGTTGAAACACACATTTGTAGAATTTGCAAGAGTTCATTTGGAGCGCTTTGATGCCTATGGTGGAAAAAGAAATATCTTCACATAAAGACTAGAAAGAAGCGTTCTCCGAAACTCCTTTGTGATATATGTGTTCAGTTCACAGAGTTGAACCTTTCTTTTGATTGAGCAGTTTTGAAACACTGCTTTTCTAGAATCTGCTTTTGGATATTTGAAGCTCTTTGACGAATTCACTGTCAATGTTATATCTTCACATACAAACTAGACAGAAGCATTCTCAGAAACTGCTTTTTGATGTGTGCATTCAACACACGGAGTTGAACCTTCCTTCTGAGAACAGTTTTGAAGCAGTCTTTTTGTGGTATCTGCAAGTCGATATTTGGAACGATTTGGGACCTATGAGGGAAAAGGAACTATCTTCACGTACAAGCTAGACAGAAGCATTCTCAGAAACTGCTTTGTGATGTGTGCATTCAACACACGGAGTTGAACCTTCCTTCTGAGAGAACGGTTTTCAAACAGTCTTTTTGTAGTATCTGCAAGTCGATATTTGGAACGATTTGAGGCCTATGAGGGAAAAGGAACTATCTTCACATACAAACTAGACAGAAGCATGCTCAGAAACTGCTGTGTGATGTGTGCATTCAACTCACAGAGTTGAACCTTCCTTTTGAGAGAGACGTTTTGAAACAGTCTTTTTGTAGTATGTACAGGTGGATATTTTTGGTGATTTGAGGTCTAAGATGGAAAAGGAAATACCTTCACCTACAAACTAGACAGAAGCATTCTCAGAAACTGCTTTGTGATGTGTGCATTAAAC
>NC_000005.10:47032822-47061288 GCF_000001405.40 Homo sapiens | reverse complement strand
TCTGTCTAGTTTGTATGTGAAGATATTTCCTTTTCCATCTTAGGCCTCAAATCGATCCAAATATCCAATTGCAGATACCACAAAAAGACTGCTTCAAAACAGCTCTCGCAAAAGGAAGGTTCAACTCTGTGAGTTGAATGCACACATCACAGAGCAGTTTCTGAGAATGCTTCTGTCTACTTTGTATGTGAAGATATCCCGTTTACAACAAATTCCTCAAAGAGCCCCCAATAGCAACAAGCAGATTCTACAAAAGCAGTGTTTCAAAACTGCTCTATCAAAAGGAACTTTTAACTCTGCGAATTGAACACACACATCACAAAGCAGTCTCGGAGAATGCTTCTGTCTTGTTTTTAGGTGAAGATATTCCTTTTTCTACCATAGGCAACAAAGCACTCCAGACGAACACATGAAGATTCTACAAAAAGTGTGTTCCAGCACTGCTCTATCAAAAGAAAGGTTCAAGTCTGGGAGTCCAATGTACATATCACAAAGAACTTTCTGAGAATGCTTGGGTCTACTTTTTATGTGAAGATAGCCGTTTCCAAAGAATTCTTCAAAGAGTTCCAGATATCCACAGGCAGATTCTACAAAAGAAGTGTTTCAATACTGCTCTATCAAAAGACGTATTCCACTCAGTTACTTTAATGCACACATCTCAATGAAGTTCCTGAGAAAGCTTCTGTCTAGTTTTTATGTGAAAATATTTCCTTTTCCATCATGGGCCTCAAAGCGCTCAAAATGAACACTTGCAGATACTAGAGAAAGACTGTTTCAAAACTGCTCTATCCAAAGAACGGTTCCACTCTGTGAGGTGAATGCACACATCACAAAGCAGTTTCTGAGAACTCTTCTGTCTAGTTTGTATGTGAACATATTTCCTTTTCCATCATAGGCCTCAAATCGCTGCAAATATCCACTTGCAGATACTATAAAAAGACTGTTTCAAAACTGCTTTCTCAAAAGAAAGTTTCAACTCTGTGAGTTGAATGCGCACATCACAAAGCAGTTTCTGAGAATGCTTCTGTGTAACTTGTAGGTGAAGATCTCCCGCATACGCCCCATTCCTCAAAGACCTCCAAATATCCGCAAGCAGAGTCTACAAAAGCAGTGTTTCAAATCTGCTCTATCAAAAGAAAGGTTCAACTTTGTGAATTGGACACAAACATCGAAAAGGAGTTTCTGAGAATGCTTCTTTCTAGTTTCTATGTGAACATATTCCTTTTTCCACCACAGGCAACAAAGCTCTCCAAATGAACACTTGCAGATTCTATAAAAAGTGTGTTTCAACACTGCTCTATCAAAATAAAGTTTCAAGTGTGTAAGTTTAATGCACACATCACAAAGCAGTTTCTGAGAATGCTTCTGTCTAGTTTGTATGTGAACATATTTCCTTTTCCATCATAGGCCTCAAATCGCTCCAAATATCCACTTGCAGATACTACAAAAAGACTGCTTCAAAACCTCTCTCTCAAAAGGAAGGTTCAACTCTGTGAGTTGAATGCACACATCACAAAGCAGTTTCTGAGAATGCTTCTGTCTAGTATTTATGTGAAGATATTTCTTTATCCACCATAGGCACAAAAGCGCTCCAAATGAAAACTTGCAGATCGTACAAAATGTGTGTTTCAACACTGCTCTTTCAAAACAAGGTTTCAAGTCTGTGCGTTGAATGCAGACATCACCAAGCAGCTTCTGAGAGTGCTTGTGTCTAGATTGTATGTGAAGATATTTCCTTTTCCGTCTTAGGCCTCAAATCACTACAAACTTCCAATTGAAGATACTTCAAAAAGATTGTTTGAAAACGGCTCTCTCAAAAGGAAGGTTCAACACTGTGAGTTCAATTCACACATCACAAAGAAGTTTCTGAGAATGCTTCTGACTAGTGTGTATTTGAAGATATCCCTTTTACAAAGAATTCCTCCAAGGAGCTACAAATATCCACAAGCAGATTCTACAAAACAGGTGGTTCAAAACTGCTCAATCAAAAGAAAGAGTCAACCCTGTGAATTGAACACACACATCACAAAGCAGTTTCTGAGAATGCTTCTGTCTAGTTTGTATGTGAAGATAGTTCCTTTTCCCTCATAGGCCTCATAGCGTTCCAAATAGCGACTTGCAGATACTACAAAAAGACTGTTTGAAAACTGTTCTCTCAGAAGGAAGGTTCAACTCCGTGTGTTGAATGCACACATCACAAAGCAGTTTCTGAGAATGCTTCTGGCTAGTTTGTATATGAAGATATCCCATTGACAATGAATTCCTCAAAGAGCTCCAAATATCCACAAGCAGATTCTAGAAAAGCAGTTTTTCAAAACTGCTCAATGAAAAGAAAGGTTCAACTCTGTGAATTGAACACACATATCACAAAGGAGTTTCGGAGAACGCTTCTTTCTAGTCTTTATGTGAAGATATTTCTTTTTCCACCATAGGCATCAAAGCGCTCCAAATGAACACTTGCAGATTCTACAAATGTGTGTTTCAACACTGCTCCGTCTAAAGAAATGTTCAAGTCTCTGTGTTGAATGCACCCATCACAAAGGAGTTTCTGAGAATGCTTCTATCTAGTTTCTATGTGAAGATATTCCCGTTTCCATGTTAAGCCTCACATCGCTCCATATATCCACTTGAGGATACTACAAAAAACTGTTTCAAAACTGCTCTCTCAAAAGGAAGGTTCAACTCTGTGAGCTGAATGCACACATCACAAAGCAGTAAATGAGATTGCTTCTGTCTAGTTTGTATGTGAAGATATTTCTTTATCCACCATAGGCAAAAAAACGCTCCAAGTGAACACTTGCACATCCTACAAAATGTGTGTTTCAACACTGCTCTTTCAAGAGAAAGGTTCAAGTCTGTGAGTTGAATGCACACATCACTAAGCAGTTTCTGAGAATGCTTCTCCCTAGTTTGTATGTGAAGATATCCCGTTTACAACGAAATCCTCAAAGAGCTCCAAATATCCACAAGCAGATCCTATAAAAGCGGTGTTTCAAAACTGCTCTGTCAAAAGAAAATTTCTATTCTGTGAATTTGACACACACTTCACAAAGGAGTTTCTGAGAATGTTTCTGTCTAGTTTTCATTTGAAGATATTTCTTTTTCCACCATAGGCAACAAAGCGCACTAAATGAACACTTGCAGATTCTACAAAAAGCGTGTTCCAGCACTGATCTCTCAAAAGAAAGTTTGAAGTCTGTGAGTTTAAGGCACACATCTCAAACAACTTTTTGAGAATGCCTGGGTTTCCTTTTTTTGTGAAGATACCAGCTTCCAACGAATTCCTGAAAGAGTTCCAAATATCCACAAGCATATTCTACAAAAGGAGTGTTTCAATTCTGCTCTATCAAAAGGCAGATTCAACTCAGTTACTTGAATGCACACATCTCAATGAAGTTCCTGAGCATGCCTCTGTCTAGTTTTTTGTGAAGATATTTCCTTTTCCGCCAAAGGCTTAAAAGCGCACCAGAATGAACACTCGCAGATCCTACAAAAAGACTGTTTCAGAACTGCTCTATCAAAAGGACGGTTCCACTCTGTGAGGTGAATGCACACATCACAAAGCAGATTCTGAGAAAGCTTCTGTCAAGTTTGGCTGTGAAGATATTTCCTTTTCCATCTTAGTCCTCCCATTGTTCCAAATATCCACTTGCAGATAGTACAAAAAGATTGTTTCAAAACTGTTCTCTCAAAAGGAAGGTTCAACTCTGTGAGTAGAATGCACACATCACAAACCAGTTTCTGAGGATGCTTCTGACTAGTTTGAATGTGAAGATATCCCGTTTAAAACGAATTCCTCAAACAGCTCCAAATATCCACAAGAAGATTCTACAAAAGCAGTGTTTCAAAACTGCTTTATCTAAAGAAAGGTTCAACCCTGTGAATTGAACAACCACATCACAAAGTATTTTCTGAGAATGTTTCTGTCTAGTTTTTAGGTGAAGATATTTCTTTTTCCACCATGGGGAAGAAAGCACTCCAAATGAACACTTGCAGATTCTACAAAAAGTGTGTTTCAACACTGCTCTATCAAAAGAAAGTTTCAAGTCTGTGAGTTGAATCCCCACATCACAAAGCAGTTTCTGAGAATGCTTCTGCCTAGTTTTTAGGTGAAGGTATATCCTTTTCCATCTTAGGCCTCAAATCTCTCCAAACATCCACTTGCAGATACTTCAAAAAGACTGTTTCAAAACTGCTCTCAAAAGGAAGGTTCAACTCTGTGAGTTGAATGCACACATCACAACGCAGTGTCTGAGAACGCTTCTGTCTAGTTTGCATGTGAAGATATTTCCTTTTCCATCTTAGGCCTCAAATCGATCCAAATATCCAATTGCAGACACCACAAAAAGACTGCTTCAAAACAGCTCTCGCAAAAGGAAGGTTCAACTCTGTGAGTTGAATGCACACATCACAGAGCAGTTTCTGAGAATGCTTCTGTCTACTTTGTATGTGAAGATATCCCGTTTACAACAAATTCCTCATAGAGCCCCCAATATCAACAAGCAGATTCTACAAAAGCAGTGTTTCAAAACTGCTCTATCAAAAGGAACATTCAACTCAGCGAATTGAACACACACATCACAAAGCAGTCTCTGAGAATGCTTCTGTCTGGTTTTTAGGTGAAGATATTCCTTTTTCCACCATAGGCAACAAAGCACTCCAAACGAACACATGAAGATTCTACAAAAAGTGTGTTCCAACACTGCTCTATCAAAAGAAATGTTCAAGTCTGGGAGTCCAATGTACATATCACAAAGAACTTTCTGAGAATGCTTGGGTCTAGTTTTTATGTGAAGATAGCGTTTCCAAAGAATTCTTCAAAGAGTTCCAGATATCCACAGGCAGATTATACAAAAGAAGTGTTTCAATACTGCTCTATCAAAAGACGTATTCAAATCAGTTACCTTAATGCACACATCTCAATGAAATTCCTGAGAAAGCTTCTGTCTAGTTTTTATGTGAAAATATTTCCTTTTCCATCATGGGCCTCAAAGCGCTCAAAATGAACACTTGCAGATACTAGAGAAAGACTGTTTCAAAACTGCTCTATCCAAAGAAAGGTTCCACTCTGTGAGGTGAATGCACACATCACAAAGCAGTTTCTCAGAACGCTTGTGTCTAGTTTGTATGTGAACATATTTCCTTTTCCATCATAGGCCTCAAATCGCTCCAAATATCCACTTGCAGATACTACAAGAAGACTGTTTCAAAACTGCATTCTCAAAAGAAAGTTTCAACTCTGTGAGTTGAATGCACACATCACCAAGCAGTTTCTGAGAATGCTTCTGTGTAACTTGTATGTGAAGATCTCCCGTATACGCCCAATTCCTAAAAGACCGCCAAATATCCGCAAGCAGATTCTACAAAAGCAGTGTTTCAAATCTGCTCTATCAAAAGAAAGGTTCAACTTTGTGAATTGGACACAAACATCTCAAAGGAGTTTCTGAGAAGGCTTCTTTCTAGTTTCTAGGTGAACATATTCCTTTTTCCACCACAGGCAACAAAGCTCTCCAAATGAACACTTGCAGATTCTATAAAAAGTGTGTTTCAACACTGCTCTATCAAAATAAAGTTTCAAGTCTGTAAGTTTAATGCACACATCACAAAGCAGTTTCTGAGAATGCTTCTGTCTAGTTTGTAGGTGAAGGTATTTCCTTTTCCATATTAGACCTCAAATCACTAAAAATATCCACTTGTATATGCTACAAAAAGACTGTTTCAAAACCTCTCTCTCAAAAGGAAGGTTCAACTCTGTGAGTTGAATGCGCACATCACAAAGCAGTTTCTGAGCATGCTTCTGTCTAGTTTGTATGTGAAAATAGTTCCTTTTCCCTCATAGGCCTCAAATCGTTCCAAATATCGACTTGCAGGTACTACAAAAAGACTGTTTGAAAACTCTTCTCTCACAAGGAAGGTTCAACTCCGTGTGTTGAATGCACACATCACAAAGCAGTTTCTGAGAATGCTTCTGGCTAGTTTGTATGTGAAGATATCCCATTGACAGCGAATTCCTCAAAGAGCTCCAAATATCCACAAGCAGATTCTAGAAAAGCAGTGTTTCAAAACTGCTCAATCAAAAGAAAGGTTCATCTCTGTGCATTGAACACACATATCACAAAGGAGTTTCGGAGAACACTTCTTTCTAGTCTTTATGTGAAGATATTTCTTTTTCCACCATAGGCATCAAAGCGCTCCAAATGAACACTTGCAGATTCTACAAATGTGTGTTTCAACACTGCTCCGTCTAAAGAAATGTTCAAGTCTCTGTGTTGAATGCACCCATCACAAAGGAGTTTCTGAGAATGCTTCTTTCTAGTTTGCATGTGAAGATATTCCCGTTTCCATCTTAAGCCTCACATCGCTCCATATATCCACTTGAGGATACTACAAAAAACTGTTTCAAAACTGCTCTCTCAAAAGGAAGGTTCAACTCTGTGAGCTGAATGCACACATCGCAAAGCAGTTAATGAGATTGCTTCTGTCTAGTATTTATGTGAAGATATTTCTTTTTCCACCATAGGCAAAAAAGCGCTCCAAGTGAACACTTGCACATCCTACAAAATGTGTGTTTGAACACTGCTCTTTCAAAAGAAAGGTTGAAGTCTGTGATTGGAATGCACACATCACAAAGCAGTTTCTGAGAATGCTTCTGTCTACTTTGTATGTGAAGATATCCCGTTTACAACAAATTCCTCAAAGAGCTCCAGATATCCACAAGCAGATCCTATAAAAGCGGTGTTTCAAAGCTGCGCTATCAAAGGAATATTTCAATTCTGTGAATTTGACACACACTTCACAAAGGAGTTTCTGAGAATGTTTCTGTCTAGTTTTCATTTGAAGATATTTCTTTTTCCACCATAGGCAACAAAGCGCACTAAATGAACACTTGCAGATTCTACAAAAAGCGTGTTCCAACACTGATCTCTCAAAAGAAAGTTTGAAGTCTGTGAGTTTAAGGCACACATCTCAAGGAACTTTTTGAGAATCCTTGGGTCTCCTTTTTTTGTGAAGATACCAGCTGCCAACGAACTCCTGAAAGAGTTCCAAATATCCACAAGCAGATTCTACAAAAGGAGTGTTTCAATTCTGCTCTATCAAAAGGCAGATTCAACTCAGTTACTTGAATGCACACATCTCAGTGAAGTTCCTGAGCATGCCTCTGTCTAGTTTTTTTGTGAAGATATTTCCTTTTCCGCCAAAGGCTTAAAAGCGCTCCAAAATGAACACTCGCAGATCCTACAAAAAGACTGTTTCAGAACTGCTCTATCAAAAGGGACGGTTCCACTCTGTGAGGTAAATGCACACATCACAAAGCAGATTCTGAGAAAGCTTCTGTCAAGTTTGGCCGTGAAGATATTTCCTTTTCAATCTTAGTCTCCCTTTGCTCCAAGTATCCACTTGTAGAGAATACAAAAAGATTGTTTCAAAACTGCTCTCTCAAAAGGAAGGTTCAACTCTGTGAGTAGAATGCACACATCACAAACCAGTTTCTGAGAATGTTTCTGACTAGTTTGAATGTGAAGATATCCCGTTTAAAACGAATTCCTCAAACAGCTCCAAATATCCACAAGAAGATTCTACAAAAGCAGTGTTTCAAAACTGCTTTATCTAAAGAAAGGTTCAACCCTGTGAATTGAACAACCACATCACAAAGTATTTTCTGAGAATGTTTCTGTCTAGTTTTTACGTGAAGATATTTCTTTTTCCACCATGGGCAAGAAAGCACTCCAAATGAACACTTGCAGATTCTACAAAAAGTGTGTTTGAACCCTGCTCTATCAAAAGAAAGTTTCAAGCCTGTGAGTTGAATCCCCACATCACAAAGCAGTTTCTGAGAATGCTTCTGCCTAGTTTTTAGGTGAAGATATATCCTTTTCCATCTTAGGCCTCAAATCTCTCCAAACATCCACTTGCAGATACTTCAAAAAGACTGTTTCAAAACTGCTCTCAAAAGGAAGGTTCAACTCTGTGAGTTGAATGCACACATCACAACGCAGTGTCTGAGAATGCTTCTGTCTAGTTTGTATGTGAAGATATTTCCTTTTCCATCTTAGGCCTCAAATCGATCCAAATATCCAATTGCAGATACCACAAAAAGACTGCTTCAAAACAGCTCTCGCAAAAGGAAGGTTCAACTCTGTGAGTTGAATGCACACATCACAGAGCAGTTTCTGAGAATGCTTCTGTCTACTTTGTATGTGAAGATATCCCGTTTACAACAAATTCCTCATAGAGCCCCCAATATCAACAAGCAGATTCTACAAAAGCAGTGTTTCAAAACTGCTCTATCAAAAGGAACATTCAACTCAGCGAATTGAACACACACATCACAAAGCAGTCTCTGAGAATGCTTCTGTCTTGTTTTTAGGTGAAGATATTCCTTTTTCTACCATAGGCAACAAAGCACTCCAGACGAACACATGAAGATTCTACAAAAAGTGTGTTCCAGCACTGCTCTATCAAAAGAAAGGTTCAAGTCTGGGAGTCCAATGTACATATCACAAAGAACTTTCTGAGAATGCTTGGGTCTACTTTTTATGTGAAGATAGCCGTTTCCAAAGAATTCTTCAAAGAGTTCCAGATATCCACAGGCAGATTCTACAAAAGAAGTGTTTCAATACTGCTCTATCAAAAGACGTATTCAACTCAGTTACTTTAATGCACACATCTCAATGAAGTTCCTGAGAAAGCTTCTGTCTAGGTTTATGTGAAAATATTAACTTTTCCATCATGGGCCTCAAAGCGCTCAAAATGAACACTTGCAGATACTAGAGAAAGACTGTTTCAAAACTGCTCTATCCAAAGAACGGTTCCACTCTGTGAGGTGAATGCACACATCACAAAGCAGTTTCTGAGAACGCTTCTGTCTAGTTTGTATGTGAACATATTTCCTTTTCCATCATAGGCCTGAAATCGCTCCAAATATCCACTTGCAGATACTACAAAAAGACTGTTTCAGAACAGCTTTCTCCAAAGAAAGTTTCAACTCTGTGAGTTGAATGCACACATCACAGAGCAGTTTCTGAGAATGCTTCTGTGTAACTTGTATGTGAAGATCTCCCGTATACGCCCAATTCCTAAAAGACCGCCAAATATCCGCAAGCAGATTCTACAAAAGCAGTGTTTCAAATCTGCTCTATCAAAAGAAAGGTTCAACTTTGTGAATTGGACACAAACATCTCAAAGGAGTTTCTGAGAAGGCTTCTTTCTAGTTTCTAGGTGAACATATTCCTTTTTCCACCACAGGCAACAAAGCTCTCCAAATGAACACTTGCAGATTCTATAAAAAGTGTGTTTCAACACTGCTCTATCAAAATAAAGTTTCAAGTCTGTAAGTTTAATGCACACATCACAAAGCAGTTTCTGAGAATGCTTCTGTCTAGTTTGCAGGTGAAGGTATTTCCTTTTCCATCTTAGACCTCAAATCACTAAAAATATCCACTTGCAGATACTACAAAAAGACTGTTTCAAAACCTCTCTCTCAAAAGGAAGGTGCAACTCTGTGAGTTGAATGCACACATCACAAAGCAGTTTCTGAGAATGCTACTTTCTAGTATTTATGTGAAGATATTTCTTTATCCACCATAGGCACAACAGCGTTCCAAATGAACACTTGCAGATCGTACAAAATGTGTGTTTCAACACTGCTCTTGCAAAACAAGGGTTCAAGTCTGTGAGTTGAATGCAGACATCACCAAGCAGCTTCTGAGAGTGCTTCTGTCTAGATTGTATGTGAAGATATTTCCTTTTCCATCTTAGGCCTCAAATCACTACAAGTATCCAATTGAAGATACTTCAAAAAGATTGTTTCAAAACGGCTCTCTCAGAAGGAAGGATCAACTCTGTGAGTTCAATTCACAATCACAAAGAAGTTTCTGAGAATGCTTCTGACTTGTGTGTATGTGAAGATATCCCTTTTACAATGAATTCTTCCAAGAGCTACAAATATCCACAAGCAGATTCTACAAAACAGGTTGTTCAAAACTGCTCAATCAAAAGAAAGAGTCAACCCTGTGAATTGAACACACACATCACAAAGCAGTTTCTGAGCATGCTTCTGTCTAGTTTGTAAGTGAACATATTTCCTTTTCCATCATAGGCCTCAAATCGCTCCAAGTATCCACTTGCAGATACTACAAAAAGACTGTTTCAGAACTGCTTTCTCCAAAGAAAGTTTCAACTCTGTTAGTTGAATGCACACATCACAGAGCAGTTTCTGAGAATGCTTCTGTGTAATTTGTATGTGAAGATATCCCGTATACGTCCAATTCCTCAAATACCTCCAAATATTCACAAGCAGATTCTACAAAAGCAGAGTTTCAAATCTGCTGTATCAATAGAAAGGTTCAACTTTGTGAATTGGACACAAACATCTCAAAGGAGTTTCTGAGAAGGCTTCTTTCTAGTTTGTATGTGAACACATTTCTTTTTCCACCACAGGCAACAAAGCTCTCAAAATGAACACTTGCAGATTCTATAAAAAGTGTGTTTCAACACTGCTCTATCAAAATAAGGTTTCAAGTCTGTACATTTAATGCACACATCACAAAGCAGTTTCTGAGAATGCTTCTGTCTAGTTTGTAGGTGAAGGTATTTCCTTTTCCATATTAGACCTCAAATCACTAAAAATATCCACTTGTATATGCTACAAAAAGACTGTTTCAAAACCTCTCTCTCAAAAGGAAGGTTCAACTCTGTGAGTTGAATGCGCACATCACAAAGCAGTTTCTGAGCATGCTTCTGTCTAGTTTGTATGTGAAAATAGTTCCTTTTCCCTCATAGGCCTCAAATCGTTCCAAATATCGACTTGCAGGTACTACAAAAAGACTGTTTGAAAACTCTTCTCTCACAAGGAAGGTTCAACTCCGTGTGTTGAATGCACACATCACAAAGCAGTTTCTGAGAATGCTTCTGGCTAGTTTGTATGTGAAGATATCCCATTGACAGCGAATTCCTCAAAGAGCTCCAAATATCCACAAGCAGATTCTAGAAAAGCAGTGTTTCAAAACTGCTCAATCAAAAGAAAGGTTCATCTCTGTGCATTGAACACACATATCACAAAGGAGTTTCGGAGAACACTTCTTTCTAGTCTTTATGTGAAGATATTTCTTTTTCCACCATAGGCATCAAAGCGCTCCAAATGAACACTTGCAGATTCTACAAATGTGTGTTTCAACACTGCTCCGTCTAAAGAAATGTTCAAGTCTCTGTGTTGAATGCACCCATCACAAAGGAGTTTCTGAGAATGCTTCTATCTAGTTTGTATGTGAAGATATTCCCGTTTCCATCTTAAGCCTCACATCGCTCCATATATCCACTTGAGGATACTACAAAAAACTGTTTCAAAACTGCTCTCTCAAAAGGAAGGTTCAACTCTGTGAGCTGAATGCACACATCACAAAGCAGTTAATGAGATTGCTTCTGTCTAGTTTGTATGTGAGGATATTTCCTTTTCAATCTTAGACTTCCCATCGCTCCAAATATCCACTTGCAGTTATTTCAAAGAGACTGTTTAAAAACTGCTCTCTCAGAAGGAAGGTTCACCTATGTGAGTTGAATGCACACACCACAAGGCAGTTTCTGAGAATGCTGCTGTCTAGTTTGTATGTGAAGATATCCCGTTTACAACGAATTCCTCAAAGAGCTCCAAATATCCACAAGCAGATTCTACAAAAGGAGTGTTTCAATTCTGCTCTATCAAAATAAAGGTTCAACACTCTGAATAGAACAAACACATCACAAAGGAGTTTCTGAGAATGCTTCTGTCTAGTATTTATGTGAAGATATTTCTTTTTCCACCATAGGCAAAAAAGCGCTCCAAGTGAACACTTGCACATCCTACAAAATGTGTGTTTGAACACTGCTCTTTCAAAAGAAAGGTTGAAGTCTGTGATTGGAATGCACACATCACAAAGCAGTTTCTGAGAATGCTTCTGTCTACTTTGTATGTGAAGATATCCCGTTTACAACAAATTCCTCAAAGAGCTCCAGATATCCACAAGCAGATCCTATAAAAGCGGTGTTTCAAAGCTGCGCTATCAAAGGAATATTTCAATTCTGTGAATTTGACACACACTTCACAAAGGAGTTTCTGAGAATGTTTCTGTCTAGTTTTCATTTGAAGATATTTCTTTTTCCACCATAGGCAACAAAGCGCACTAAATGAACACTTGCAGATTCTACAAAAAGCGTGTTCCAACACTGATCTCTCAAAAGAAAGTTTGAAGTCTGTGAGTTTAAGGCACACATCTCAAGGAACTTTTTGAGAATCCTTGGGTCTCCTTTTTTTGTGAAGATACCAGCTGCCAACGAACTCCTGAAAGAGTTCCAAATATCCACAAGCAGATTCTACAAAAGGAGTGTTTCAATTCTGCTCTATCAAAAGGCAGATTCAACTCAGTTACTTGAATGCACACATCTCAGTGAAGTTCCTGAGCATGCCTCTGTCTAGTTTTTTTGTGAAGATATTTCCTTTTCCGCCAAAGGCTTAAAAGCGCTCCAAAATGAACACTCGCAGATCCTACAAAAAGACTGTTTCAGAACTGCTCTATCAAAAGGACGGTTCCACTCTGTGAGGTAAATGCACACATCACAAAGCAGATTCTGAGAAAGCTTCTGTCAAGTTTGGCCGTGAAGATATTTCCTTTTCAATCTTAGTCCTCCCATTGCTCCAAGTATCCACTTGTAGAGAATACAAAAAGATTGTTTCAAAACTGCTCTCTCAAAAGGAAGGTTCAACTCTGTGAGTAGAATGCACACATCACAAACCAGTTTCTGAGAATGCTTCTGACTAGTTTGAATGTGAAGATATCCCATTTAAACCGAATACCTCAAACAGCTCCAAATATCCACAAGAAGATTCTACAAAAGCAGTGTTTCAAAACTGCTTTATCTAAAGAAAGGTTCAACCCTGTGAATTGAACAACTACATCACAAAGTATTTTCTGAGAATGTTTCTGTCTAGTTTTTACGTGAAGATATTTCTTTTTCCACCATGAGCAAGAAAGCACTCCAAATGAACACTTGCAGATTCTACAAAAAGTGTGTTTCAACCCTGCTGTATCAAAAGAAAGTTTCAAGCCTGTGAGTTGAATCCCCACATCACAAAGCAGTTTCTGAGAATGCTTCTGCCTAGTTTTTAGGTGAAGATATATCCTTTTCCATCTTAGGCCTCAAATCTCTCCAAACATCCACTTGCAGATACTTCAAAAAGACTGTTTCAAAACTGCTCTCAAAAGGAAGGTTCAACTCTGTGAGTTGAATGCACACATCACAACGCAGTGTCTGAGAATGCTTCTGTCTAGTTTGCATGTGAAGATATTTCCTTTTCCATCTTAGGCCTCAAATCGATCCAAATATCCAATTGCAGACACCACAAAAAGACTGCTTCAAAACAGCTCTCGCAAAAGGAAGGTTCAACTCTGTGAGTTGAATGCACACATCACAGAGCAGTTTGTGAGAATGCTTCTGTCTAGTTTGTATGTGAAGATATCCCGTTTACAACAAATTCCTCAAAGAGCCCCCAATAGCAACAAGCAGATTCTACAAAAGCAGTGTTTCAAAATTGCTCTATCAAAAGGAACTTCCAACTCTGCGAATTGAACACACACATCACAAAGCAGTCTCTGAGAATGCTTCTGTCTGGTTTTTAGGTGAAGATATTCCTTTTTCCACCATAGGCAACAGAGCACTCCAAACGAACATATGAAGATTCTACAAATGTGTGTTCCAACACTGCTGTATCAAAAGAAAGGTTCAAGTCTGGGAGTCCAATGTACATATCACAAAGAACTTTCTGAGAATGCTTGGGTCTACTTTTTATGTGAAGATAGCCGTTTCCAAAGAATTCTTCAAAGAGTTCCAGATATCCACAGGCAGATTCTACAAAAGAAGTGTTTCAATACTGCTCTATCAAAAGACGTATTCAACTCAGTTACTTTAATGCACACATCTCAATGTAGTTCCTGAGAAAGCTTCTGTCTAGTTTTTATGTGAAAATATTTCCTTTTCCATCATGGGCCTCAAAGCGCTCAAAATGAACACTTGCAGATACTAGAGAAAGACTGTTTCAAAACTGCTCTATCCAAAGAACGGTTCCACTCTGTGAGGTGAATGCACACATCACAAAGCAGTTTCTGAGAACGCTTCTGTCTAGGTTGTATGTGAACGTATTTCCTTTTCCATCATAGGCCTCAAATCGCTCCAAATATCCCCTGGCAGATACTACAGAAAGACTGTTTCAATACTGCTTTCTCAAGAGAAAGTTTCAACTCTGTGAGTTGAATGCACACATCACAAAGCAGTTTCTGAGAATGCTTCTGTGTAACTTGTATGTGAAGATCTCCCATATACGCCCAATTCCTCAAAGACCTCCAAATATCTGCAAGCAGATTCTACAAAAGCAGTGTTTCAAATCTGCTCTATCAAAAGAAAGGTTCAACTTTGTGAATTGGACACAAACATCACAAAGGAGTTTCTGAGAATGCTTCTTTCTAATTTCTATGTGAACATATTCCTTTTTCCACCACAGGCAACAAAGCTCTCCAAATGAACACTTGCAGATTCTATAAAAAGTGTGTTTCAATACTGCTCTATCAAAATAAAGTTTCAAGTCTGTAAGTTAAATGCACACATCACAAAGCAGTTTCTGAGAATGCTTCTGTCTAGTTTGTAGGTGAAGGTATTTCCTTTTCCATCTTAGACCTCAAATCACTAAAAATATCCACTTGCAGATACTACAAAAAGACTGTTTCAAAACCTCTCTCTCAAAAGGAAGGTGCAACTCTGTGAGTTGAATGCACACATCACAAAGCAGTTTCTGAGAATGCTACTTTCTAGTATTTATGTGAAGATATTTCTTTATCCACCATAGGCACAACAGCGTTCCAAATGAACACTTGCAGATCGTACAAAATGTGTGTTTCAACACTGCTCTTTCAAAACAAGGGTTCAAGTCTGTGAGTTGAATGCAGACATCACCAAGCAGCTTCTGAGAGTGCTTCTGTCTAGATTGTATGTGAAGATATTTCCTATTCCATCTTAGGCCTCAAATCACTACAAACATCCAATTGAAGATACTTCAAAAAGATTGTTTCAAAACGGCTCTCTCAAAAGGAAGGTTCAACTCTGTGAGTTCAATTCACACATCACAAAGAAGTTTCTGAGAATGCTTCTGACTAGTGTGTATGTGAAGATATCCCTTTTACAAAGAATTCCTCCAAGAGCTACAAATATCCACAAGCAGATTCTACAAAACAGGTGGTTCAAAACTGCTCAATCAAAAGAAAGAGTCAACCCTGTGAATTGAACACACACATCACAAAGCAGTTTCTGAGAATGCTTCTGTCTAGTTTGTAAGTGAACATATTTCCTTTTCCATCATAGGCCTCAAATCGCTCCAAGTATCCACTTGCAGATACTACAAAAAGACTGTTTCAGAACTGCTTTCTCCAAAGAAAGTTTCAACTCTGTTAGTTGAATGCACACATCACAGAGCAGTTTCTGAGAATGCTTCTGTGTAACTTGTATGTAAAGATCTCCCGTATACGCCTAATTCCTCAAAGACCTCCAAATATCCGCAAGCAGATTCTACAAAAGCAGTGTTTCAAATATGCTCTATCAAAAGAAAGGTTCAACTTTGTGAATTGGACACAAACATCTCAAAGGAGTTTCTGAGAATGCTTGTTTCTAGTTTGTATGTGAACACGTTTCTTTTTCCACCTCAGGCAACAAAGCTCTCCAAATGAACACTTGCAGATTCTATGAAAAGTGTGTTTCAACACTGCTCTATCAAAATATGGTTTCAAGTCTGTAAGTTTAATACACACATCACAAAGCAGTTTCTGAGAATGCTTCTGTCTAGTTTGTAGGTGAAGGTATTTCCTTTTCCATCTTAGACCTCAAATCACCAAAAATATCCACCTGTACATACTACAAAAAGACTGTTTCAAAACGTCTCTCTCAAAAGGAAGGTTCAACTCTGTGAGTTGAATGCACACATCACACAGCAGTTTCTGAGCATGCTTCTGTCTAGTTTGTATGTGAAGATAGTTCCTTTTCCCTCATAGGCCTCAAATCGTTCCAAATATCGACTTGCAGATACTACAAAAAGACTGTTTGAAAACCGTTCTCTCAGAAGGAAGGTTCAACTCCGTGTGTTGAATGCACACATCACAAAGCAGTTTCTGAGAATGCTTCTGTCTAGCTTGTATGTGAAGATAGTTCCTTTTCCCTCATAGGTCCCAAATCGTTCCAAATATCGACTTGCAGATACCACAAAAAGACTGCTTCAAAACTGTTCTCAGAAGGAAGGTTCAACTCCGTGTGTTGAATGCACACATCAAAAAGCAGTTTCTGAGAATGCTTCTGTCTAGTTTGTATGTGAAGATATAACATTGACAGCGAATTCGTCAAAGAGCTTCAAATATCCAAAAGCAGATTCTAGAAAAGCAGTGTTTCAAAACTGCTCAATCAAAAGAAAGGTTCAACTCTGTGAACTGAACACATATATCACAAAGGAGTTTCGGAGAACGCTTCTTTCTAGTCTTTATGTGAAGATATTTCTTTTTCCACCATAGGCATCAAAGCGCTCCAAATGAACTCTTGCAGATTCTGCATATGTGTGTTTCAACACTGCTCCGTCTAAAGAAATGTTCAAGTCTCTGAGTTGAATGCACCCATCACAAAGCAGTTTCTGAGAATGCTTCTTTCTAGTTTGCATGTGAAGATATTCCCGTTTCCATCTTAAGCCTCACATCGCTCCATATATCCACTTGAGGATACTACAAAAAACTGTTTCAAAACTGCTCTCTCAAAAGGAAGGTTCAACTCTGTGAGCTGAATGCACACATCGCAAAGCAGTTAATGAGATTGCTTCTGTCTAGTTTGTATGTGAGGATATTTCCTTTTCAAACTTAGACTTCCCATCGCTCCAAATATCCACTTGCAGATATTTCAAAGAGACTGTTTAAAAACTGCTCTCTCAGAAGGAAGGTTCAACTCTGTGAGTTGAATGCACACACCACAAAGCAGTTTCTGAGAATGCTGCTGTCTAGTTTGTATGCGAAGATATCCCGTTTACAACGAATTCCTCAAAGAGCTCCAAATATCCACAAGCAGATTCTACAGAAGCAGTGTATCAAAACTGCTCTATCAAAAGAAAGGTTCAACTCTCTGAATAGAACAAACACATCAAAAAGGAGTTTCTGAGAATGCTTCTGTCTAGTATTTATGTGAAGATATTTCTTTTTCCACCATAGGCAAAAAAACGCTCCAAGTGAACACTTGCACATCCTACAAAATGTTTGTTCCAACACTGCTCTTTCAAGAGAAAGGTTCAAGTCTGTGAGTTGAATGCACACATCACTAAGCAGTTTCTGTGAATGCTTCTGTCTAGTTTGTATGTGAAGATATCCCGTTTACAACGAAATACTCAAAGAGCTCCAAATATCCACAAGCAGATCCTATAAATGCGGTGTTTCAAAACTGCTCTATCATAAGAAAATTTCAATTCTGTGAATTTGACACACACTTCACAAAGGAGTTTCTGAGAATGTTTCTGTCTAGTTTTCATTTGAAGATATTTCTTTTTCCACTATAGGCAACAAAGCGCACTAAATGAACCCTTGCAGATTCTACAAAAAGCGTGTTCCAACACTGATCTCTCAAAAGAATGTTTGAAGTCTGTGAGTTGAAGGCACACATCTCAAAGAACTTTTTGAGAATGCTTGGGTTTCCTTTTTTTGGGAAGATACCAGCTTCCAACGAATTCCTGAAAGAGTTCCAAATATCCACAAGCATATTCTACAAAAGGAGTGTTTCAATTCTGCTCTATCAAAAGGCAGATTCAACTCAGTTACTTGAATGCACACATCTCAATGAAGTTCCTGAGCATGCCTCTGTCTAGTTTTCTGTGAAGATATTTCCTTTTCCGCCAAAGGCTTAAAAGCTCTCCAAAATGAACACTCGCAGATCCTACAAAAAGACTGTTTCAGAACTGCTCTATCAAAAGGACGGTTCCACTCTGTGAGGTGAATGCACACATCACAAAGCAGATTCTGAGAAAGCTTCTGTCAAGTTTGGCTGTGAAGATATTTCCTTTTCCATCTTAGTCCTCCCATTGTTCCAAATATCCACTTGCAGATAGTACAAAAAGATTGTTTCAAAACTGTTCTCTCAAAAGGAAGGTTCAACTCTGTGAGTAGAATGCACACATCACAAACCAGTTTCTGAGGATGCTTCTGACTAGTTTGAATGTGAAGATATCCCGTTTAAAACGAATTCCTCAAACAGCTCCAAATATCCACAAGAAGATTCTACAAAAGCAGTGTTTCAAAACTGCTTTATCTAAAGAAAGGTTCAACCCTGTGAATTGAACAACTACATCACAAAGTATTTTCTGAGAAAGTTTCTGTCTAGTTTTTAGGTGAAGATATTTCTTTTTCCACCATGGGGAAGAAAGCACTCCAAATGAACACTTGCAGATTCTACAAAAAGTGTGTTTCAACACTGCTCTATCAAAAGAAAGTTTCAAGTCTGTGAGTTGAATCCCCACATCACAAAGCAGTTTCTGAGAATGCTTCTGCCTAGTTTTTAGGTGAAGGTATATCCTTTTCCATCTTAGGCCTCAAATCTCTCCAAACATCCACTTGCAGATACTTCAAAAAGACTGTTTCAAAACTGCTCTCAAAAGGAAGGTTCAACTCTGTGAGTTGAATGCACACATCACAACGCAGTGTCTGAGAACGCTTCTGTCTAGTTTGTATGTGAAGATATTTCCTTTTCCATCTTAGGCCTCAAATCGATCCAAATATCCAATTGCAGGTACCAGAAAAAGACTGCTTCAAAACAGCTCTCACAAAAGGAAGGTTCAACTCTGTGAGTTGAATGCACACATCACAGAGCAGTTTCTGAGAATGCTTCTGTCTAGTTTGTATGTGAAGGATATCCCGTTTACAACAAATTCCTCAAAGAGCCCCCAATAGCAACAAGCAGATTCTACAAAAGCAGTGTTTCAAAACTGCTCTATCAAAAGGAACTTCCAACTCTGCGAATTGAACACACACATCACAAAGCAGTCTCTGAGAATGCTTCTGTCTGGTTTTTAGGTGAAGATATTCCTTTTTCCACCAGAGGCAACAAAGCACTCCAAACGAACACATGAAGATTCTACAAAAAGTGTGTTCCAACACTGCTCTATCGAAAGAAAGGTTCAAGTCTGGGAGTCCAATGTACATATCACAAAGAACTTTCTGAGAATGCTTGGGTCTACTTTTTATGTGAAGATAGCCGTTTCCAAAGAATTCTTCAAAGAGTTCCAGATATCCACAGGCAGATTCTACAAAAGAAGTGTTTCAATACTGCTCTATCAAAAGACGTATTCCACTCAGTTACTTTAATGCACACATCTCAGTGAAGGTCCTGAGAAAGCTTCTGTCTAGTTTTTATGTGAAAATATTTCCTTTTCCATCATGGGCCTCAAAGCGCTCAAAATGAACACTTGCAGATACTAGAGAAAGACTGTTTCAAAACTGCTCTATCCAAAGAAAGGTTCCACTCTGTGAGGTGAATGCACACATCACAAAGCAGTTTCTCAGAACGCTTCTGTCTAGTTTGTATGTGAACATATTTCCTTTTCCATCATAGGCCTCAAATCGCTCCAAATATCCACTTGCAGATACTACAAAAAGACTGTTTCGGAACTGCTTTCTCAAAAGAAAGTTTCAACTCTGTGAGTTGAATGCACACAGCACAAAGCAGTTTCTGACAATGCTTCTGTGTAATTTGTATGTGAAGATATCCCGTATACGTCCAATTCCTCAAATACCTCCAAATATTCACAAGCAGATTCTACAAAAGCAGAGTTTCAAATCTGCTGTATCAATAGAAAGGTTCAACTTTGTGAATTGGACACAAACATCTCAAAGGAGTTTCTGAGAAGGCTTCTTTCTAGTTTGTATGTGAACACATTTCTTTTTCCACCACAGGCAACAAAGCTCTCAAAATGAACACTTGCAGATTCTATAAAAAGTGTGTTTCAACACTGCTCTATCAAAATAAGGTTTCAAGTCTGTACATTTAATGCACACATCACAAAGCAGTTTCTGAGAATGCTTCTGTCTAGTTTGTAGGTGAAGGTATTTCCTTTTCCATCTTAGACCTCAAATCACCAAAAATATCCACCTGTACATACTACAAAAAGACTGTTTCAAAACGTCTCTCTCAAAAGGAAGGTTCAACTCTGTGAGTTGAATGCACACATCACACAGCAGTTTCTGAGCATGCTTCTGTCTAGTTTGTATGTGAAGATAGTTCCTTTTCCCTCATAGGCCTCATAGCGTTCCAAATAGCGACTTGCAGATACTACAAAAAGACTGTTTGAAAACTGTTCTCTCAGAAGGAAGGTTCAACTCCGTGTGTTGAATGCACACATCACAAAGCAGTTTCTGAGAATGCTTCTGTCTAGCTTGTACGTGAAGATAGTTCCTTTTCCCTCATAGGTCCCAAATCGTTCCAAATATCGACTTGCAGATACCACAAAAAGACTGCTTCAAAACTGTTCTCAGAAGGAAGGTTCAACTCCGTGTGTTGAATGCACACATCAAAAAGCAGTTTCTGAGAATGCTTCTGTCTAGTTTGTATGTGAAGATATAACATTGACAGTGAATTCGTCAAAGAGCTTCAAATATCCAAAAGCAGATTCTAGAAAAGCAGTGTTTCAAAACTGCTCAATCAAAAGAAAGGTTCAACTCTGTGAACTGAACACATATATCACAAAGGAGTTTCGGAGAACGCTTCTTTCTAGTCTTTATGTGAAGATATTTCTTTTTCCACCATAGGCATCAAAGCGCTCCAAATGAACTCTTGCAGATTCTGCATATGTGTGTTTCAACACTGCTCCGTCTAAAGAAATGTTCAAGTCTCTGAGTTGAATGCACCCATCACAAAGCAGTTTCTGAGAATGCTTCTTTCTAGTTTGTATGTGAAGATATTCTCGTTTCCATCTTAAGCCTCACATCGCTCCATATATCCACTTGAGGATACTACAAAAAACTGTTTCAAAACTGCTCTCTCAAAAGGAAGGTTCAACTCTGTGAGCTGAATGCACACATCGCAAAGCAGTTAATGAGATTGCTTCTGTCTAGTTTGTATGTGAGGGTATTTCCTTTTCAAACTTAGACTTCTCATCGCTCCAAATATCCACTTGCAGATATTTCAAAGAGACTGTTTAAAAACTGCTCTCTCAGAAGGAAGGTTCAACTCTGTGAGTTGAATGCACACACCACAAAGCAGTTTCTGAGAATGCTTCTGTCTAGTTTGTATGTGAAGATATCCCGTTTACAACGAATTCCTCAAAGAGCTCCAAATATCCACAAGCAGATTCTACAGAAGCAGTGTATCAAAACTGCTCTATCAAAAGAAAGGTTCAACTCTCTGAATAGAACAAACACATCACTAAGGCGTTTCTGAGAATGCTTCTGTCTAGTATTTATGTGAAGATATTTCTTTTTCCACCATAGGCAAAAAAGCGCTCCAAGTGAACACTTGCACATCCTACAAAATGTGTGTTTGAACACTGCTCTTTCAAAAGAAAGGTTGAAGTCTGTGATTGGAATGCACACATCACAAAGCAGTTTCTGAGAATGCTTCTGTCTACTTTGTATGTGAAGATATCCCGTTTACAACAAATTCCTCAAAGAGCTCCAGATATCCACAAGCAGATCCTATAAAAGCGGTGTTTCAAAGCTGCGCTATCAAAGGAATATTTCAATTCTGTGAATTTGACACACACTTCACAAAGGAGTTTCTGAGAATGTTTCTGTCTAGTTTTCATTTGAAGATATTTCTTTTTCCACCATAGGCAACAAAGCGCACTAAATGAACACTTGCAGATTCTACAAAAAGCGTGTTCCAACACTGATCTCTCAAAAGAAAGTTTGAAGTCTGTGAGTTTAAGGCACACATCTCAAGGAACTTTTTGAGAATCCTTGGGTCTCCTTTTTTTGTGAAGATACCAGCTGCCAACGAACTCCTGAAAGAGTTCCAAATATCCACAAGCAGATTCTACAAAAGGAGTGTTTCAATTCTGCTCTATCAAAAGGCAGATTCAACTCAGTTACTTGAATGCACACATCTCAGTGAAGTTCCTGAGCATGCCTCTGTCTAGTTTTTTTGTGAAGATATTTCCTTTTCCGCCAAAGGCTTAAAAGCGCTCCAAAATGAACACTCGCAGATCCTACAAAAAGACTGTTTCAGAACTGCTCTATCAAAAGGACGGTTCCACTCTGTGAGGTAAATGCACACATCACAAAGCAGATTCTGAGAAAGCTTCTGTCAAGTTTGGCTGTGAAGATATTTCCTTTTCCATCTTAGTCCTCCCATTGTTCCAAATATCCACTTGCAGATAGTACAAAAAGATTGTTTCAAAACTGTTCTCTCAAAAGGAAGGTTCAACTCTGTGAGTAGAATGCACACATCACAAACCAGTTTCTGAGGATGCTTCTGACTAGTTTGAATGTGAAGATATCCCGTTTAAAACGAATTCCTCAAACAGCTCCAAATATCCACAAGAAGATTCTACAAAAGCAGTGTTTCAAAACTGCTTTATCTAAAGAAAGGTTCAACCCTGTGAATTGAACAACCACATCACAAAGTATTTTCTGAGAATGTTTCTGTCTAGTTTTTACGTGAAGATATTTCTTTTTCCACCATGGGCAAGAAAGCACTCCAAATGAACACTTGCAGATTCTACAAAAAGTGTGTTTGAACCCTGCTGTATCAAAAGAAAGTTTCAAGCCTGTGAGTTGAATCCCCACATCACAAAGCAGTTTCTGAGAATGCTTCTGCCTAGTTTTTAGGTGAAGATATATCCTTTTCCATCTTAGGCCTCAAATCTCTCCAAACATCCACTTGCAGATACTTCAAAGAGACTGTTTCAAAACTGCTCTCAAAAGGAAGGTTCAACTCTGTGAGTTGAATGCACACATCACAACGCAGTGTCTGAGAATGCTTCTGTCTAGTTTGTATGTGAAGATATTTCCTTTTCCATCTTAGGCCTCAAATCGATCCAAATATCCAATTGCAGATACCACAAAAAGACTGCTTCAAAACAGCTCTCGCAAAAGGAAGGTTCAACTCTGTGAGTTGAATGCACACATCACAGAGCAGTTTCTGAGAATGCTTCTGTCTACTTTGTATGTGAAGATATCCCGTTTACAACAAATTCCTCATAGAGCCCCCAATATCAACAAGCAGATTCTACAAAAGCAGTGTTTCAAAACTGCTCTATCAAAAGGAACATTCAACTCAGCGAATTGAACACACACATCACAAAGCAGTCTCTGAGAATGCTTCTGTCTTGTTTTTAGGTGAAGATATTCCTTTTTCTACCATAGGCAACAAAGCACTCCAGACGAACACATGAAGATTCTACAAAAAGTGTGTTCCAGCACTGCTCTATCAAAAGAAAGGTTCAAGTCTGGGAGTCCAATGTACATATCACAAAGAACTTTCTGAGAATGCTTGGGTCTAGTTTTTATGTGAAGATAGCCGTTTCCAAAGAATTCTTCAAAGAGTTCCAGATATCCACAGGCAGATTATACAAAAGAAGTGTTTCAATACTGCTCTATCAAAAGACGTATTCAAATCAGTTACCTTAATGCACACATGCTCAATGAAATTCCTGAGAAAGCTTCTGTCTAGTTTTTATGTGAAAATATTTCCTTTTCCATCATGGGCCTCAAAGCACTCAAAATGGACACTTGCAGATACTAGAGAAAGACTGTTTCAAAACTGCTCTATCCAAAGAACGGTTCCACTCTGTGAGGTGAATGCACACATCTCAAAGCAGTTTCTGAGAACTCTTCTGTCTAGTTTGTATGTGAACATATTTCCTTTTCCATCATAGGCCTCAAATCGCTCCAAATATCCACTTGCAGATACTACAAAAAGACTTTTTCAGAACTGCTTTCTCAAAAGAAAGTTTCAACTCTGTGAGTTGAATGCACACAGCACAAAGCAGTTTCTGAGAATGCTACTTTCTAGTATTTATGTGAAGATATTTCTTTATCCACCATAGGCACAACAGCGTTCCAAATGAACACTTGCAGATCGTACAAAATGTGTGTTTCAACACTGCTCTTTCAAAACAAGGGTTCAAGTCTGTGAGTTGAATGCAGACATCACCAAGCAGCTTCTGAGAGTGCTTCTGTCTAGATTGTATGTGAAGATATTTCCTCTTCCATCTTAGGCCTCAAATCACTACAAACATCCAATTGAAGATACTTCAAAAAGATTGTTTCAAAACGGCTCTCTCAAAAGGAAGGTTCAACTCTGTGAGTTCAATTCACACATCACAAAGAAGTTTCTGAGAATGCTTCTGACTTGTGTGTATGTGAAGATATCCCTTTTACAATGAATTCTTCCAAGAGCTACAAATATCCACAAGCAGATTCTACAAAACAGGTTGTTCAAAACTGCTCAATCAAAAGAAAGAGTCAACCCTGTGAATTGAACACACACATCACAAAGCAGTTTCTGAGCATGCTTCTGTCTAGTTTGTATGTGAAGATAGTTCCTTTTCCCTCATAGGCCTCATAGCGTTCCAAATAGCGACTTGCAGATACTACAAAAAGACTGTTTGAAAACTGTTCTCTCAGAAGGAAGGTTCAACTCCGTGTGTTGAATGCACACATCACAAAGCAGTTTCTGAGAATGCTTCTGGCTAGTTTGTATATGAAGATATCCCATTGACAATGAATTCCTCAAAGAGCTCCAAATATCCACAAGCAGATTCTAGAAAAGCAGTTTTTCAAAACTGCTCAATGAAAAGAAAGGTTCAACTCTGTGAATTGAACACACATATCACAAAGGAGTTTCGGAGAACGCTTCCTTTCTAGTCTTTATGTGAAGATATTTCTTTTTCCACCATAGGCATCAAAGCGCTCCAAATGAACTCTTGCAGATTCTGCATATGTGTGTTTCAACACTGCTCCGTCTAAAGAAATGTTCAAGTCTCTGAGTTGAATGCACCCATCACAAAGCAGTTTCTGAGAATGCTTCTTTCTAGTTTGCATGTGAAGATATTCCCGTTTCCATCTTAAGCCTCACATCGCTCCATATATCCACTTGAGGATACTACAAAAAACTGTTTCAAAACTGCTCTCTCAAAAGGAAGGTTCAACTCTGTGAGCTGAATGCACACATCGCAAAGCAGTTAATGAGATTGCTTCTGTCTAGTTTGTATGTGAGGATATTTCCTTTTCAAACTTAGACTTCCCATCGCTCCAAATATCCACTTGCAGATATTTCAAAGAGACTGTTTAAAAACTGCTCTCTCAGAAGGAAGGTTCAACTCTGTGAGTTGAATGCACACACCACAAAGCAGTTTCTGAGAATGCTTCTGTCTAGTTTGTATGTGAAGATATCCCGTTTACAACGAATTCCTCAAAGAGCTCCAAATATCCACAAGCAGATTCTACAGAAGCAGTGTATCAAAACTGCTCTATCAAAAGAAAGGTTCAACTCTCTGAATAGAACAAACACATCACTAAGGCGTTTCTGAGAATGCTTCTGTCTAGTATTTATGTGAAGATATTTCTTTTTCCACCATAGGCAAAAAAGCGCTCCAAGTGAACACTTGCACATCCTACAAAATGTGTGTTTGAACACTGCTCTTTCAAAAGAAAGGTTGAAGTCTGTGATTGGAATGCACACATCACAAAGCAGTTTCTGAGAATGCTTCTGTCTACTTTGTATGTGAAGATATCCCGTTTACAACAAATTCCTCAAAGAGCTCCAGATATCCACAAGCAGATCCTATAAAAGCGGTGTTTCAAAGCTGCGCTATCAAAGGAATATTTCAATTCTGTGAATTTGACACACACTTCACAAAGGAGTTTCTGAGAATGTTTCTGTCTAGTTTTCATTTGAAGATATTTCTTTTTCCACCATAGGCAACAAAGCGCACTAAATGAACACTTGCAGATTCTACAAAAAGCGTGTTCCAACACTGATCTCTCAAAAGAAAGTTTGAAGTCTGTGAGTTTAAGGCACACATCTCAAGGAACTTTTTGAGAATCCTTGGGTCTCCTTTTTTTGTGAAGATACCAGCTGCCAACGAACTCCTGAAAGAGTTCCAAATATCCACAAGCAGATTCTACAAAAGGAGTGTTTCAATTCTGCTCTATCAAAAGGCAGATTCAACTCAGTTACTTGAATGCACACATCTCAGTGAAGTTCCTGAGCATGCCTCTGTCTAGTTTTCTGTGAAGATATTTCCTTTTCCGCCAAAGGCTTAAAAGCTCTCCAAAATGAACACTCGCAGATCCTACAAAAAGACTGTTTCAGAACTGCTCTATCAAAAGGACGGTTCCACTCTGTGAGGTGAATGCACACATCACAAAGCAGATTCTGAGAAAGCTTCTGTCAAGTTTGGCCGTGAAGATATTTCCTTTTCAATCTTAGTCCTCCCATTGCTCCAAGTATCCACTTGTAGAGAATACAAAAAGATTGTTTCAAAACTGCTCTCTCAAAAGGAAGGTTCAACTCTGTGAGTAGAATGCACACATCACAAACCAGTTTCTGAGAATGCTTCTGACTAGTTTGAATGTGAAGATATCCCGTTTAAAACGAATTCCTCAAACAGCTCCAAATATCCACAAGAAGATTCTACAAAAGCAGTGTTTCAAAACTGCTTTATCTAAAGAAAGGTTCAACCCTGTGAATTGAACAACCACATCACAAAGTATTTTCTGAGAATGTTTCTGTCTAGTTTTCAGGTGAAGATATTTCTTTTTCCACCATGGGCAAGAAAGCACTCCAAATGAACACTTGCAGATTCTACAAAAAGTGTGTTTGAACCCTGCTGTATCAAAAGAAAGTTTCAAGCCTGTGAGTTGAATCCCCACATCACAAAGCAGTTTCTGAGAATGCTTCTGCCTAGTTTTTAGGTGAAGATATATCCTTTTCCATCTTAGGCCTCAAATCTCTCCAAACATCCACTTGCAGATACTTCAAAAAGACTGTTTCAAAACTGCTCTCAAAAGGAAGGTTCAACTCTGTGAGTTGAATGCACACATCACAACGCAGTGTCTGAGAATGCTTCTGTCTAGTTTGTATGTGAAGATATTTCCTTTTCCATCTTAGGCCTCAAATCGATCCAAATATCCAATTGCAGATACCACAAAAAGACTGCTTCAAAACAGCTCTCGCAAAAGGAAGGTTCAACTCTGTGAGTTGAATGCACACATCACAGAGCAGTTTCTGAGAATGCTTCTGTCTAGTTTGTATGTGAACATATCCCGTTTACAACAAATTCCTCAAAGAGGCCCCAATAGCAACAAGCAGATTCTACAAAAGCAGTGTTTCAAAACTGCTCTATCAAAAGGAACTTCCAACTCTGCGAATTGAACACACACATCACAAAGCAGTCTCTGAGAATGCTTCTGTCTTGTTTTTAGGTGAAGATATTCCTTTTTCTACCATAGGCAACAAAGCACTCCAGACGAACACATGAAGATTCTACAAAAAGTGTGTTCCAGCACTGCTCTATCAAAAGAAAGGTTCAAGTCTGGGAGTCCAATGTACATATCACAAAGAACTTTCTGAGAATGCTTGGGTCTACTTTTTATGTGAAGATAGCCGTTTCCAAAGAATTCTTCAAAGAGTTCCAGATATCCACAGGCAGATTCTACAAAAGAAGTGTTTCAATACTGCTCTATCAAAAGACGTATTCAACTCAGTTACTTTAATGCACACATCTCAATGAAGTTCCTGAGAAAGCTTCTGTCTAGTTTTTATGTGAAAATATTTCCTTTTCCATCATGGGCCTCAAAGCGCTCAAAATGAACACTTGCAGATACTAGAGAAAGACTGTTTCAAAACTGCTCTATCCAAAGAACGGTTCCACTCTGTGAGGTGAATGCACACATCACAAAGCAGTTTCTGAGAACTCTTCTGTCTAGTTTGTAGGTGAAGGTATTTCCTTTTCCATCTTAGACCTCAAATCACTAAAAATATCCACTTGCAGATACTACAAAAAGACTGTTTCAAAACCTCTCTCTCAAAAGGAAGGTGCAACTCTGTGAGTTGAATGCACACATCACAAAGCAGTTTCTGAGAATGCTACTTTCTAGTATTTATGTGAAGATATTTCTTTATCCACCATAGGCACAACAGCGTTCCAAATGAACACTTGCAGATCGTACAAAATGTGTGTTTCAACACTGCTCTTGCAAAACAAGGGTTCAAGTCTGTGAGTTGAATGCAGACATCACCAAGCAGCTTCTGAGAGTGCTTCTGTCTAGATTGTATGTGAAGATATTTCCTATTCCATCTTAGGCCTCAAATCACTACAAACATCCAATTGAAGATACTTCAAAAAGATTGTTTCAAAACGGCTCTCTCAAAAGGAAGGTTCAACTCTGTGAGTTCAATTCACACATCACAAAGAAGTTTCTGAGAATGCT